>NT_187517.1:0-256271 GCF_000001405.40 Homo sapiens
GAATTCACTCCTGGTCCAATGAAGCCATTTCCTGGCATGGCCAAAGATCAGGAACGGATTCCTCTGGATCTGTCCATTAGGAGTGAGCAGGGTCTCAGTATCTGGGGAGCAGTGAGGGCCCCTGAGAAGAGGGTAGGTTTCAGTGGCTCATCATCACTGCCCACACAGAATGTTCCAGGCCCCAAGTGTGCATCCTTTGTGAATGAACCCAGTGAACAGGCATGGGAGAAATTAAGGAAGAAACAGATGACTGAAAGGAAGCAAAAAATGAGTGAGAACTAATCAAAATGATCACATTTCAGTTTTGATGCCTTGATTTGCTGCAGCTGAACCTCAATCACAGATGACGTAGTACCTCTCATCAGTAACTAGAGATTTCTGATATATAAATGGCTAAAACAGGTTGATCAATCATGGAAGACACCAGAAAGTTTCCATTCAGGTTCCATTTATTTTTGACATTTTTAAATAACCATCCTTGCGAGGGTAACTCCTGCATCATTCTAGAACTTCAGGTTCCATTTCCGAGTCTAGGAAACAGGTCCCTGAAGGCTTTATTGATGCCAAGTCAGCATTTTCACCAAGTCCTGCCCCCAGCTGAGTCACCTTTGTTTTTCCACTCACAGTCAGCACGTGCCTGAAACACATGACCGTGTGCTTCCTTTAAGATGCACCTGACCGGGCCAGGCTGCTCATGCCTGTAAACCCAGCACTGTGGAAGTCCAAGGTAGTCAGATCACTTGAGGTCAGGAGTTTGAGGCCAGCCTCCTCCAACATCGTGAAACCCTGTCTCTACTAAAAATACAAAAATTACACTTTGGGAGGCCGAGGCGGGTGGATCACGAGGTCAGGAGATCGAGACCATCTTGGCTAACTTGGTGAAACCCTGACTCTACTAAAAATACCAAAAATTAGCTGGGTGTGGTGGTGGGCACCTGTAGTCCCAGCTACTCTGGAGGCTGAGGCAGGAGAATGGCGTGAACCCTGGAGGCGGAGGTTGCAGTGAGCCGAAATCGTGCCAGTGCACTCCAGACTGGGTGACAGAGCGAGACTCTGTCTCAAAAAAAAAAGAAAAAAAATACAAAATTAGCTGGATGTGGTGGTGCATGCCAGTAACACCAGCTACTAGGGAGGCTGAGGCAGGAGAATCACTTGAACCTGGGAGGTGGAAGTTGCAGTGAGCTGAGATTGTGCCAGTGCACTTCAGCCTGAGGGACAGAGTGAGACTCCATCAAAAAAAAAAAGCACCTGTGTCCTAGATTTTAGTGCCCAAGGGTCCAGAAGAAAGCGTATCCATCCCACTAGCCAGGCCTTCCCTAAGAGCAAAGATGGAGGTCCACTTTCTCAGATGGCCATGAGCCACAGGAAGGGCAGGGGACGGGACCAAAAAAGATCCTCTTGGGCTGCCTGACTTCCCTGAGTGTACACATCAGCTCAGCCCGAATTGGGGCAAGGATCTCCCAATTGGCATGACCCCTGTTGTCAAGACTCTCCAGACGGGAAGGATACAACTCCAGACCTAACTTGCTCAGCCCGCCTGTGTGACACAGAAGGTCTTTCAGAGCATTCATGGAAGTCTCGTTTCCTTGAAAGTAGAAGGTGGTGAGCTGGGAGCAGTGGCTCAGGGCAGGCAGGAGGACCCTGAGTTGGGAGTCCTGGATCTGACAGTCCTTTAACGTGAGGGTCTCAAGAGTAGCAGCAACTTTCTCTAGCAGAGCTCCAAGGGGCTCAAGATTGGTGGTCCACATTAGGATATGAATCAGATGCAGCTCCTTTAGCTGACTGAGGCTTGGGTACTGAGACAGACACTCCATGTCCCGATCAGCTAGGTAAGCATGACAGAATATAAAGGCCCCCAAGAGGTTCTTGAGGCACCTGGGGAGAGCAAGAAATTAGTTATGGGCAATGGTGCCAGTTAGAGGAGAGGGGTGGGAAATCATCTCAATGGTAAACTTGAAGTGGGCATTGAGTAATTCTGCACCTTACTACCACACAGGTGTTATAGTAACTGCAATGGGGAAGCCTGTTTCACCCAAACACAAGTTTGTTCCCATCATCAGATGATGGTCTGTGTGCAAGGTGCTGCCTGATGAAGACTCAGATCATTCAGGGGCAGCTCCATTTTAGGCTCAGTCCTTTCAGCCTTGCTTGTGTGATTGGTTCAAGGCCACAAAATCTTTAAAGCCTCTTTACTGCATCTTTCAGCAGACAACCTCATCTCTGGGCCAGAGGAGCCCAGTGGGAGATTTGCACAAAGAACTCAACTGAGCAAGGTCTAGGGACATCAGCTAGGGCCACCTGTCTGCAAAGGTTCCCTGACGTGCCCACGTCTGCAAACCACCTATCACTTTATACCACTCTCCTGCCTACTCCCTCACCTCTGTCCAAGAAGCATGCTTTTCTCATGTCAACTACTTTTCCTGGGGTTCAAAAGAACCTTTTACAGACAGAGAATTAGAGACAGGATCATTGGTGTTTACTAAGCTGTGAGGACGGAGCTTCTACTGTGAAATGCACAGGTTTGATGCACTTTCCCTTCTTTCATACTCTCCTCTATATGAAGAGTAAGTTTCATCATATTAACTTCAAACGCACTTCCTAAAAAGGAATTCACAAATGCACCCTCCCTAGATCTGAACCCCTGACTAACTAGATCCCTGCATGTCTCTCTCTGTAGCATCTGGCCCGGGCCATCCCTCTGCCCTTATTTGAGCGGGCTTGTGATACCCACTTCAGGATATAGAGCACTGAACAGCATAATGAGTTGACATTCTAGCGTCCCATTCCCTGTGACATCACCAGTGGCTGGCACACAGTAGATGCCCACTAGCGTTTACTGTGAAAAAGAACAAAAGTCTGTGGTATGGTCTGCAGAGAAAGCTCACCATCCTTTCTTACCTGAGCAGGTGCTCCAGGTCTTTGAAATTATTGACCTTTCTTATATAAAGCATCTGAGGGTAGGACAGGCAGAGGAATGGGCAGTCCAAGTCAGGAACGAACTATTGTTGGCCGCTTACATATAACTCACTGTCATAACCGAAGGCTAAAAAGAGTTTGTGAAGATTGCTCATCTGGCTCAGGTAAGGGGCAAACTTTCCTGTTTTATTCAGAGAGCACTTTCTCCTAACTTCCAACTCCTAGATACTGTCTGGGTATACCCTTTTCAATAAATTTCTGAAACTTGAAGTGGGCATTGAGTAATTCTGCACCTTATTACAGCACAGGTGCACTAGACCTCTTCTGTAGTGGATCTACCCACAAAGGTAGCTCAGGCATTCATCCAGCATACTTTTCTTTAGGCAGCGGTCTATGAACACCTTCAAGGGCTGGCACTCTCCCATCCTTGGACAGTCCTCCACTGTCTGTCTTTTACTCATGGCCTCTGGGGAGCAGGAGAGGACCTTGGCTCCAGACCATATGGTCCAGAAATTCCCATCAACATCCCGCAAATCCAGCACTTGAAGTTTCCACCTCCTGTGAGTAACATAGGGGAAAAGCTCAGAATGTAGGCAAGGACCCACCCCTGACCTGAGCTTTCACTCAACATCCAGGACATCAGTCAGCTGCTCCTGTCCTCAGTGCTCCTCCTTCTGTCTCTTCTCCATCCCGCTCCCCCTTGGGTTCTGCCTGGTTCTCACTTCTAGAATCTTTACGTTCCACTGGGAGAAAGCAGGTTCCTGTTTCCTCAGTGGACCCTGTATGGTGAGCAGTCCTTTCCCAGAGGATCTGGGCAATGGTCAAGGCCTCTCATGGGCACCATCAGAAGCCTCTGAGCCACCCTAGCTCCCCAACCCCACCACTCCTCCTGAGCCAGCTGTCCCTTCCCTGGATGCCTGGACCCTTCCCACCAGGCCACCTGAGTCACCTCACCTGAGGCAAACCTTCTGGGCCAGCAGTGTATCAAGTCCCTTCAGCACAGCTTGCAAGGTCTCCAGATGAGGTGTCTTCATCAGGGATCCCAGAGGGAGGTGGAGGAAGGACCAGGCCTGCACCATCAGCTTCAGGGCCTCACAGCGTCTCCTGCTGACGGCCTCCATGAACATCAGAGGGAAGACCTCCCTGGGCAGCTCGTCCAGGATGAAGATGGTCAAGAACTGGTTCCTCAGCAGGCTCTGCCCTGCCAGCTCCAGGAGTCTGGATGGGGACTGGAGGCTCATTCTGACAAATCTGCAAGGAAAAACTCTAGAGGACAATCCAGTGAAAAGGCAAGTTTCTCAGGCCAATCCCCTGCAACCCCCGCTTCTCCTAGGGCCAAAGTCAGTTCTCTAGCATGTGTGAAAGAGCCCTCAGTTTACTCCAATTCCATTCTGCAATAAGTGGCCACAGAGGCATAGTTCTGCCCTTCTGGTACTAAGAAGAGTGTGTCCCAACCTCTAAAGAGCAGGCAAGATCCCTCCTATAGGGTCCATGAATTATTAGCCACTGCACTACTACACTGATAGCACTGGGAAGTGTTAGCAAGGATCTTTGAAGCTCAGATCTCCACTTTTTTGAGAAAACAAAATGTCTTCTTGGCCAGGCACTGTGGCTCATGCCTGTAATCCCAGCACTTTAGGAGCCCAAGGTGGGCGGATCATGAGGTCAGGAGTTCGAGACCAGCCCGGCCAACATGGTGAAATACCATCTCTACCGATACAAAATATTAGCCGGGTGTGGTGGTCCCTGCCTGTAATCCCAGCTACTTGGGAAGCTGAGGCAGGAGAATCTCTCAACCCGAGGTCCAGAGTTTTCAGTGAGCCAAAATCTAGCCACTGCATTCCAGCCTGGGTGTCAGAGTGAGACTCTGTCTCAAAAAAAAAAAAAAAAAGTAAAGGGAAGCCAAGCATGGCGGCTTACAGCTGTAATCCCAACACTTTGGGAAGCCAAGGCAGAACAATCACTTGAGCCCAGGAGTTCCAGACCAGCTAGGGCAACATAGTGATAGCCCATGTCTACTAGACTCTACTAGAATATTAAGTAATTATCTGAGCATTGTGGCACATGCCTATAGTCTCAGCTACTCTGCAGATGGAGGTGGGAGGATGGCTTGAGCCTGGGAAGCAGAGGTTTCAGTTATCTGAGATTTTGCCACCACACTCCAGCCTGGGCAACAGAGAAAGACCCTGTCTCAAGTAATAATAATAATAATAATAATAATAATAATAATAATAATAGCACACTTTGGGATTGAGTCTAGGGGAAGAAATGGATCCTACATTCAAAACAAAGACTCTACTCTTGAAAATAGTGTATGGGGCCAGACATGGTGGCTCATGCCTGTAATCCCAAGACTTTAGGAGACAAGGTGGGGGGTTTGCTTGAGTCCAGGTGTTCCAGACCAGCCTGGCTAACAAAGCGAGACCCCATCATTATAAAAAAATTTAATAGAACATAGTGGAAGGAATATCTTTATAATTTTAGTAAAAAACAAAGCCTATCTTTCAAAATCACAATAGCATTCTTGGGTGGGGTGACTCTTGCCTGTAATCCCAGCACTTTGGGAGGCTAAGGGCTGGCAGATTACATGGAGTCCAGGGGTTCCAGACCAGCCTGGGCAATATGGTACAACCCCATCTCTACTGAAAATACAATTAGCCAGGCCTCATGGTGTGGGACTGTAATCCCAGCTACTGGGAAGGCTGAGGTGAGAAGATCCCTTGAATACAGGAGACAGAGGTTGCACTGAGGCAATTATCACACCACTGCAGTACAGCTGGGTGACAGAGTGAGACTTTGTCTCAAGAAATTAAAATCATAATAACATAGTCTATAAACTGCAAATTAAGGGCACACAATCTACAAATTTTAAATGTCAAGGAATGAGACATTAATTAATTGGATTCTTTTTTTTTTTTTAATTGAGACGGAGTCTATTGCCCAGGCTGGAGTGCAATGGCATGATCTCGGCTCACTGCAACCTGCACCTCGCGGGCTGAAGCAATTCACCTGCCTCAGCCTCCTCAGTAGCTTGGATTACAGACATGTGCCACCATGCCCAGTTAATTTTTGTATTTTCAGTAGAGAAGGCGTTTCACTGTGTTGGTCAGCCTGGTCTCAAATTCCTGACCTCAGGTGATGCACCCACCTTGGTCTCCCAAAGTGCTGGGATTACAGGCATGAGCTGCTGTCCCTGGCCCAGTTGGATTCTTTTTTAGTTCTTTGGTTAAGAATTTTGAAATGACATAAAACAAAGCACAAATACATTTTTTTTTCCTTTTTAAGGCAGAGTCTTGCTGGGTCACCCAGGTGTGCACCACCATGCCCGGCTAATGTTTGCATTTTAAGTAGAGATGGAGTTGGCCTCATGTGATCTGGCTGCCTTGGCCTTTCAAGGTTGCTGGAATTACAGGTGTGAGCCATCATGGGAGTCTCAGCTACTTGGAAGGCTGAGGAGGGAGGATCCGTTGAGCGTGGGGGGCAGAGGTTGCAGTGAGGTGAGGAGTTTGAGAGCAGTGTGGCCAACATGGCAAAATCTCATCTCTACTAAAAATACAAAAATTAGCTGCGCATGGTGGCAGGTGCCTTGTAATCCCAGCTACTTGGGAGGCTGAGGCGGGAGAATTGCTTGAAGCCGGGAGGCGGAGGTTGCAGTGAGCTGAGATCGCGACACTGCACTCCAACGTGGGCGACAGAGTGAGACTCCTTCTTGGAGAAAAAAAAAAAAAAAAGAACTTTGAAATGTGGCAGGGCCCAGTAGCTCATGCCTATTATCCCAGCACTTTGGGAGGCCAAGGCAGGTTAATCACTTGAGAGGTCAGGAGTTCAAGACCAGCCTGGCCAACATGGTGAAAACTTACCTCTACTAAAAATACAAAATTAGGGCTGGGCACGGTGGCTCACACCTGTAATCCCAGCACTTTGGGAGGCCGAGGCGGGCGGATCACGAAGTCAGGAGTTTGAGACAAGCCTGGCCAACATGGTGAAACCCCATCTCTACTAAAAATACAAAAATTAGCCAGGTGGGATGGTGGTTGCCTATAATCCCAGTACTCGGGAGGCTGAGATAGGAGAATCACTTGAACCTGGGAGGTGGAGGTTGCAGTGAGCTGAGATTGTGCCTGTCAGGTCTCTGAGCCCAAGCCAAGCCATCGCATCCCCTGTGACTTGCACGTATACATCCAGATGGCCTGAAGTAACTGAAGATCCACAAAATAAGTAAAAACAGCCTTAACTGATGACATTCCACCATTGTGATTTGTTCCTGCCCCACCCTAACTGATCAATGTACTTTGTAATCTCCCCCACCCTTAAGAAGGTACTTTATAATTCTCCCCACCCTTGAGAATGTACTTTGTGAGATCCACCCCTGCCCACCAGAGAACAACCCCCTTTGACTGTAATTTTCCATTACCTTCCCAAATCCTATAAAATGGCCCCACCCCATCTCCCTTCGCTGACTCTCTTTTCAGACTCAGCCCGCCTGCACCCAGGTGAAATAAACAGCCATGTTGCTCACACAAAGCCTGTTTGGTGGTCTCTTAACAAGGACGCGCATGAAAGTGCCATTGCCCTGCAGCCAGGGCAAGAGTGACACTCCGTCTCAAAAAAAAAAAAAAGAAGAAGAAGCTTATCAAGCCCTGAAGCAATATGGGAAAAAAAAAACAACAAAATTTAGTCAGGCATAGTGGTGGGCGCCTGTCATTCCAGATAGTAGGGAGGCTGAGGCAGGAGAATCACTTGATCCGGGAGGCGGAGGTTGCAGTGAATCAGGATCGCACCACTGCACTCCAGCCTGGGTGACAGAGCAAGTTTGTCTCAAAAAAATAAAATAAAAGAGAACTTTGAGATGGCATAAACTAAAACAGAAATAAAATATTTGGAGAGTGGCTGGGCGTGGTGGTTCATGCCTGTAATCTCAGCACTTTGGGAGGCTGAGGCAGGTGAACCACGAGGTCAGGAGTTCAAGACCAGCCTGGCCAACATGGTGAAACCCTGTCTCTCTAAAAATACAAAAAAAATTAGCCAGGCGTGGTGGTGGGCGCCTGTAGTCCCAGCTACTCGGGAGGCTGAGGCAGGAGAATTGCTTGAACTCAGGAGGTGGAAGTTGCAATGAGCCGAGATCGTGCCACTGCATTCCAGCCCAGGCAACGGAGTGAGGCTCTGTCTCATAACAAACAAAGAAACAAAAATATATATGTAGATATATATTTGGAGTGTAGATAAAAGTGTATTAGAGGAAAAATCAAAGCCGACATCTGTTCATCTGAAAAACAGGCAGGAGAATTCTCTGTGTCATCTTGACCTCCATGTCGTCATCCTGACTGTCTGACTGTGGGTCATAGGAGTGCCCTTTGTGGAGGTCCCTGACTTACCAGATCTGGACTCACTTTGCAGTGTGCTCGGATCTTGTGGAGAACCAAGCAGTAACTCCAGGCACCACAGCTCTGGGTCTCTTCTGGGGGTGCTCAAAAGCTTTCTTGAACCTTTCTCATCACACCTCCCCTTTTCAACCACCAGCTTCCCATCAGAGAGTGATGCCTGATTGGATTTCTGAAGCTCCACCCACTTGAGCCTGTGAATTCAGGTGTCCATTCAATCCCTTGGATATCCAATCATGAAATTGAAAGTGTTGGGATTAGAATGCAAGTCAAGAATTCATTTTGATAACGTTGATCCAGCCAAAGATCTCTGAACCATAAAGCTTTCAGGTTTTGTTTTTGTGTCTAATCTCAGGAGCGGATTGAACCCTTCCCTGTCTCAAACTCAAAAATAGGAAGGAAGGTCACATATTAGTACAATTCATTCTCTGTGGAGGGCATTAATGAATGAATTCTTGACTTCCACCCTAATCCTAACAAACACTGATGGAATTTACTAAGGGACTGACTGATAAGGTGGATGGTGTGTGCCTGTAATCCCATTGAGCAATTCATATTGAGGAATTATTTTCTTATTTTGCTGAGAATATTTTTAAAATCCTTAATGAGTCATTGAATTTTTTCAAATGTTTTTCCTACAGCAATTAAGATGATCATTTTCTGGTGCTTTTATTCTATTTATTTGTTTAAATACGTTTGTTGAATTTTTTTTTTTTTTTTTTGGGGGAGACAGAGTCTCGCTCTGTGGTCCTGGCTGGAGTGCAGTGGCGTGATCTCGGCTCACTGCAACCTCCATCTTCTGAGTTCAAGCAATTCTCCTGCCTCAGCCTCCTGAGTGGCTGGGATTACAAATGTGCACCATCACGCCTGGCTAATTTTTTATTTTTACTAGAGACAGCGTTTCCCATGTTGCCCAGGCTGGTCTTGAACTTGTGATCTCTGGTGATCTGCCCACCTCGGCCTCCCAAAGTGCTGGGATTACAGGCGTGAGCAGCCGTGCCCTGCTAACCAAAAGTTTTACTACTGAATTTTTTTTTTTTTTTTTTTTGAGATAGAGTCTCCCGGCTGGGCGTGGTGGCTCACGCCTGTAATCCCAGCACTTTGGGAGGCAGAGGCAGGTGGATCATGAGGTCAGGAGATCGAGACCATCCTGGCTAACACAATGAAACCCCGCCTCTACTAAAAATACAAAAAATTAGCCGGGCGTGGTGGCGGGCGCCTGTAGTCCCAGCTACTCGGGAGGCTGAGGCAGGAGAATGGCGTGAACCTGGGAGGCGGAGCTTGCAGTGAGCCGAGATCGCGCCACTGCACTCCAGCCTGGGCAGCAGAGCGAGACTCTGTCTCAAAAAAAAAAAAAAAAAAGAGATAAAGTCTCCCTCTGTCACCAGGCTGGAGTGCAGTGGCACCATCTCTGCTCACTGCAACCTCTGCCTCCCGGGTTCAAGCGATTCTCCTGCCTCAGCCGTCCAAGTAGCTGTAACTACTGGTTTACACCACCATGCCGGGCTAATTTTTGTATTTTTAGTAGAGACGGGGTTTCACCATGTTGGCCAGGCTGGCCTCGAACTCCATACCTCAAGTGATCCTCCCACCTTGGCCTTCCAAAGTGCTGGGATTACAGGTGTAAGCTACCGTGCCTGGCCTCAAACTGAACATTCTCAAAGTTCTACTGTTCAAAGTTTAGCTTCTTTCACTAAGCAAATCAATTGCTGGCTATGCAAACATTTTTTTTTAATCTTTGTTTTTGTTTTTCTTTTTCGAGACAGGGTCTTGTTTTGCAACCCAGGCTGGAGTGAAGTGGCACGATCACGGCTTATTGCAGCCTTGACCTGCCAGTCTCAATCAATCCTCCAAATCAGTCTCCTAAATAGCTAGGTTTACAGGTGTGTGCCACCACACCTGGTTAGGTTTTGTGTTTTTTTATTTTTTTGTAGAGACAGGGTTTCAACATGCTGCCCTGGCTGGTCACTAACTCCTGGCCTCTGGGCTTAAGCAATCTGCCTGACTCGGCCTCCAAAAGTTCTGGGATAACAGGTGTGAGCCACCAAGCAGGGCCTGGAAATTTATTTCTGTGCATAGAAAACCTTAGTGCAACTGGGTTGATCTAGGCAGTGTTCCAGACTCCCTCTGTGATCAGACTCTTTGGTTTGACACACATTATGGAGATTGGAAGCCAATGTGTAAGGGAAATAGATATAAAATTAGAACATGACCACTACTTAGGAGGCTGCAGCAGAAGGATCACTTGAGTCCAGGAGTTCAAGGCTGCTATGAGCTATGATTATGCCACTGAACTCTAGCCTGGGCAACAGAGTGAAGAAGACCTTATCTCAAAAAACAAAACAAAACAAAAACAAAAACAAAAACAAACAAACAAAACAACAGTCAGAGGTAGTAGTTCATGCCTGTAATCCCAGCACTTTAGGAGGCTGAAGAGGGCAGATCACTTGAGATCAGGAGTTCAAGACCAGCCTGGTCAACATGGTGAAACCCCATCTCTACTAAAAGTACAAGAAAAATTAGCTGGGTGTAGTGGCAGGCCCCTGTAATCCCAGCTAATTGGGAGGCTGAGCCAGGAAAATCGCTTGAACCCAGCAGGTAGAGGTTGCAGTGAGCCGAGATGGCAACACTACACTCCAGCCTGGGCAACAGAGTGAGACTCTGTCTCAATCAAAGCAAAACCAAACAAAACAAAACAACAAAACAAAACAAAATGAAACAATACATGAGCATGATCATGTTACCCTCTACTACGTAATCAACGTCTTACTAAAACCAGACATTGGTGGCCGGGCACAGTGGCTCACATCTGTTATCCCAGCATTTTGGGAGGCCGAAGCAGGCAGATCACCTGAGGTCAGGAGTTCAAGACCAGCCCGGCCAACATGGTGAAACCCCGTCTCTACAAAAAATACAAAAAAATCAGCTGGGCATTATGGCGAGTGCCTGTTATTCCAGCTACTTGGGAGGCTGAGGCAGGAGAATCGCTGGAACCTGGGAGACAGAGGTTGCAGTGAGCTGAGATGGTGCCATTGCACTCCAGCCAGGGTAACATAACAAGACTCCGTCTCAATAAAAAAACCAAAAAACAAAAAACTAAAAAACTAGACATTGGTTTAATGGAAACATGAGAGGCAAAGGGATTGTCTCTACAGTTCTACTGTATGAAATAAATAATAGCTTCTTTTGTTTGTTTGTGTTGTTTTTGTTTTTTTGAGACAGAGTCTCACTCTGTTGCCCAGGCTGGAGAGCAATGGCATGATCTTGGCTCACTGGAACCTCTGCCTCCTGGGTTCAAGCAGTTCTCCTGCCTCAGCCTCCAAGTAGCTAGGATTACAGGTGCTCTCCACCACACCTGGCTAATTTTTTGTATTTTCAGTAGAGACAAGGTTTTGCCATGTTGGCCAGGCTGGTCTGAAACTCCTGAGCCCTAGTGATCCATCCACCTTGGCCTCCCAAAGTGTTGGGATTACAGGCGTGAGCCACTGCACCCGGCCAATAGTTTGGTTTATTAGATGCATCAATAATCAGGGCATTTTGTAGAGGAACCTACTTATCTTTTAATGGAGATAGCATGCAATGGCTACTTCATCTAATTCATTAAAATACTTTTTCTTCCTACATTTATTTATTTATGTATTTATTTTATTTTATTTTTATTTTGAGATGGAGTTTCACTCTTGTTGCCCAGGCTGGAGTGCATTGGTGTGATCTCAGCTCACCACGACCTCTGCCTCCCTGGTTCAAGCGATTCTCCTGCCTCAGCCTCCCTAGTAGCAGGGATTAGAGGCATGTGCCACCACGCCCGGCTAATTTTGTATTTTTAGTAGAGATGGGGTTTCTCCATGTTGGTCAGGCTGGTCTTGAACTCCCGACCTCAGGTGATCCACCCACCTCGACCTCCCAAAGTGCTGGGATTACAGGTGTGAGCCACTGTGCCCAGCCTTATTTATTTATTTATTTATTTATTTATTTATTCATTTATTTATAAGACAGGTTCTCACTCTGTCACCCAGGCTGGAGTGCAGTGGCAGATCTCAGCTCACTGCAACCTCTGCCTCCTGGGCTCAAGTGATCCTTCCACCTCAGCCCCCCAAGTCACTGAGAGTACAGGTGCATGCCACCATGCCCAGCTAATTTTTGTATTTTTTGTAGAGATGAGGTTTTGCCACATTGCCCAGGCTGGTCTTGAACTCCTGGACTCAACAATCTGCCCACTTTGGCTTTCCAAATGCTGGGATTACTGGTGTTAACCACCATGCTTGCTCCTCTATCCCAATTTAAACCACAATCACACAATCTGGTGTCAATGGAAATTAAGGATGTTGAGGGAAAAATAATTTGATACAAGTTTATTGGAAGCTGAATGTGAGAATTGACCCAGGAACATACAGCAACAAAGTGGATGTGTTCCAAAGTCTATTATAAGTTGGAATGCTTTCATGAGAGAGTGTAGAAGGCAGTGGGACTCCTCATAGCTGAGTTGTCCTTCTTCAATGATGGGTACAACACAGAGGTTACAATCATTGACCAAGGTTGACAATGAACAGGCCAAAATGCTTGAAGTGCAAGACAGTTAAACTTCATGATCAAAATCAAATCAGCGTCCTTCTCAATGTCAGAAGGTGAAGCCTTTGTCAGTACTTGAAGAGTTTGAGAAGCTCATGATCAGATGATTTACTCAGGGACAGGATGTAAGCCATGAATCCTAAGCCCTTCCCCAGATGGTTGGTTTGGAAGCCCGCCAACTGTGATTTGCAGGTTTTTGTTTTTGTTTTTGCTTTTTTGAGATGGAGTCTCACTCTGTCACCCAGGGTGGAGTGCAATGGTGCAGTCTTGGCTCACTGCAATGTCCGCCTCCCTTGTTCAAGCAATTCTCCTGCCTCAGCCTCCCAAGCAGCTGGGATTACAGGCATGCCCCAACACACCTGGCTAATTTATATATATGTATATATTTTTTAGTAGAGATGGGGTTTCACCATGTTGGCCAGGCTGGTCTTGAACTCCTGGCCTTAGGTGATTCTCCTGACTTGGCCTCCTAAAGTGTTGGGATTACAAGTGTGAGCCACCAAGCCTGGCCGATCTGCAGGATTTCACTGGCAATGTGCAGACGCAGCTATGATGAAGAATAACCATGACCGTCCCATTACCTCCGAGTGGTGGAGAATGGGATCCTTTGACCCTTTCTTATCCTAAAGCTGGGTTACTCATCTGTGTGTCAACAAAAATATGGTGTACTTAACAGACAGAGAAAGAGACTCAGTAAAAAAGGATTTTTTTCTTATGAAATGAGCAAAGCAATGGGAATAGGTGTGAGACTATTCAGGGAGGTCAAGGAAGACAAGGGTTTTGAAAGGAAAAATAAGGAGGATTACATAAGTGGTTCTGAAGGCATCCTCCTTGGCCATAAGGATCACAGTTAAGGTGGCATTGGCCAATGTTGGAAAGAGTCTCCCTCATGCCCACAAAAACCCAACACATTGACCATGCCTTGGTTCAATCTCAAGGTCCCATTGGAACACTAAGCCCAACCCAGCCCAGCCCAGCCACCACCCTTACTTCTCTTTGTAATTGTTACCTGATTTCCTCCAGAGAAACCTGGAACAAAATCTTAAGACCAATCACACCCTTAGTGGTACCTCTCTTCCACACGAATGAGCATACGATTTCCTCATATGGGTAACTTAAATCCCAAATGACCAATATATACACGAACATTTAAATTCAATTTTGTAGGGATAAAACCACTGCCTTCATGAAGCTGTTTTTTGTTTTGTTTGTTTTTGTTTTTGATACAGGCTCTGTTGCCCAGCCCAGAGGGCAGTAGATTGATCTAGGCTCACTGCAACCTCTGCATCGTGGGGATCAAAAAATGGATCTTCCCATTTCAGCCTCCAGAGTAGCTGGGACCACAGGTGTGCACCACCATGATTCACTGATTTTTTTTTTTTTTTGAGATGGTGTCTCCCTCTGTCGCCCAGGCTGTAGTGCAGTGGCATGATCTTGGCTCACTGCCACCTCCACCTCCCGGGTTCAAGTGATTCTTCTGCCTCAGACTCCTGAGTAGCTGGGACTAGAGGTGCATCCCACCATGCCCAGCTAATTATTGTATTTTTAGTAGAGACGGTTTCACCATATTTGCCAGGCTGGTCTCGAACTGCTGACCTCATGATCTGCCTACCTTGTCCTCTCAAAGTGCCAGGATTACAGGCTTGAGCCACCGTGTCTGGCTTATAAAGTTTAAACTCTGAAACATTTTTATTTTTATTTATTTATTCATTTATCTTGAGACTGAGTCTTGCTCTGTCACCCAGGCTGGAGTGCAGTGGCGTGATCTTGGCTCACTGCAAGCTCCGCCTCCCAGGTTCATGTCATTCTCCTGCCTCAGCCTCTGGAGTAGCTGGGAATAAAGGAGCCCACCACCATGCCTGGCTAATTTTTTGTATTTTTGGTGGAGACAGGGTTTCACTGTTAGCCAGGATGATCTCGATCTCCTGACCTCGTGATTCACCCGCCTCAGCCTCCCAAAGTGCTGGGATTATAGGCGTGAGCCACAGTGCCTGGCTGAAACCTTTTATAATTTTGTTTTGTTTTGCTTTTTGAGGCAGAGTCTCTCTCTGTCACCTAGGCTGCAGTGCATTGGCACGATCTTGGCTCACTGCAACCTCCGCCTCCTGGGTTCAAGTGATTCTCCTGCCTCAGCCTCCTGAGTAGCTGGGACTACAGGCACCCACCACCACACCCGGCTAATTTTTGTATTTTTAGTAGAGACAAGGTTTCACCATGTTGGCCAGGATGGTCTCGATCTCCTGACTTCGTGATCCACCCGCCTGGACCTCCCAAAGTGCTGGGATTACAGGCATGAGCTACCGCGCCTGGCCCATTTTGATAATTTTGACGGGGCCAAAGATTTCCCCAACATTAATCTTTTTAGGTTTTGTTTTTCTCTCTAATGTCAGGAACAGAGTGAGAGTTCCCTGTCTCACACTCAGAACAAAGAAGGTCACATACTGGTAAATTCCATCAGTGTTTGTTCGGGTGGAAGTCAAGAATTCACTCATTAATGCCCTCCAGAAGCAGAGATGGAGTGGTAGTAATATGTGACCTTCCTAGTCCTGAGTGGAAGACAGGGAAGGGTTCAACCTATTCCTGAGATTAGACAGAAAAGCAAAACCGGAAAATATTATGGTTGGGAGTTCTTTGGTGACATCAAAATCATCAAAATGAGTTCTTGACTTCCACCCTAATTACAGTGCTTTCAGTTTCATGATTGGATATCTGATTCAATCCATTATTCTGCAGAAAGCCAAAACTTCAATCAGGCTTAACTGGGTGGAATTCAGAAATCCAATCAGGTATCACTTTCTGATAGGAATCTGGAAGTTGATAAAGGAGGTGGGATTAGGAAAGTCCAAGAAAGTTGCTGGGAGCCGTGGCTCATGCCTGTAATCCCAGCACTTTGGGAGGCTGAGGAGGAGGGTGGGTCATGAGGTCAGGAGTTCCCAAGACCAGGCTGGCCAATATGGTGAAACACCATCTCTGCTAAAAATACAAAATTAGCTAGGTGTGGTGGCGCATGCCTGTAATTCCGGCTACTTTGGAGACTGAGACAGGAGAATCACTTGAATCCAGGAGGTGGAGGTTGCGGTGAGCCGAGATCACGCCATTTTACTCCAAACTGGGCAACAAGAGCGAAACTCCATCTCAAAAAAACAGAAAGGTCCAAGAAAGCTTGTGAACATCCACAGAAGAGACCCCAAGCTGTGGTACCTGGAGTTATTGCTTGATTCTCCAAGAGGTCCGAGCAGACTGCAAAGTGAGTCCAGATCTGGTAAGTCAGGTACCTTCACAGGGGCACTCCTATGACCCACAGTCAGCCAGTAGAGATGGCGACATGAAGGCCAAGGTGGCACAGCGAATTTTCCTGCCTGTTTTTCAGATGAACAGATGTAGGCTTTAATTTTTTCTCTAATGCAGTTTTATCTCTTCACTCCAAATATTTTATTTGTGTTTAGTTTATGTCATTTCAAATGTTTTTTTTTTTTTTCTGAGATGGAGTCTTGCTCTGTCACCCAGGCTGCAGTGCAATGATGAGGTCTCGGCTCACTGCAACCTCCGCCTCCTAAGTTCAAGCAATTCTCCTGCCTCAGCCTCCTGAGTAGCTGGGATTACAGGTGCCCACCACCATGCCCGGCTAATTTTTGTATTTTTAGTAGAGACAGCGTTTCACCATGTTGGCCAGGCTGGTCTCGAACACCTGACCTCGTGATCTGCCCACCTAGGCCTCTCAAAGTGCTGGGATTATAGGTGTGAGCCACCATGCCCAGCTTCAGAGTTCCGAATCAAGCAGTTGAAAAATAATGCAATTGACTGAAGTCTTTTTTTTTTTTTTCTTTGAGGCATTGTCTTCCTGCGTCATTCTTGGTGGAATGCAGTATTGTGATCTCGACTCACTGCAACCTCTGCCTTCTGGGCTCAAGCCATCCTCCCTACTCATAAGTTCTAGCCTTCTGAATAGCTGGAATTCAGGCATGCACCAGTATAACCGGCTAATTTTTTTGTTTTTGTTTTGTTTTTGTCTTTTTCTTTTTTTTTTTTTTTGAGAGAGAGTCTCACTCTGTTGCCCAGGTTCGAGTGCAGAGGCATGATCTTGGCTCACTGCAAATTCTGCTTCCCGGGTTCAAGTGATTCTCCTGCTTCAGCCTCCCAAGTAGCTGGGACTGTGGGTGTGTGCCACCACACCTGGCTAATTTTTGTATTTTTAATAGAGATAGGGTTTCACTATGTTGGCCAGGCTGGTCTTAAACTCCCAAACTCAGGCGATCTGCCCGCCTCAGTCTCACAAAGTGCTGAGATTACAGGTGTGAGCCACCGTGCCAGGCCTATTATTATTTTTTTTTATAGTGATGGGGTCTTGGTTTGTTACCTAGGCTGGTCTGGGACACCTAGATTCAAGCAAACCTCCCACTTTGCCTTCTAAAGTCTTGGGATTACAGGCATGAGCCAACATGACTGGTCTCATACACCATTTTCAAGAATGGAGTCTTTGTTCTGAATGTGGGATCAATTTGTTTCTCTAGACTCCATTCCAAAGTGGGTAATATTTTATTTATTTATTTATTTTATTAAGACAGAGTCTTGCTGTTCTGCCCAGGCTGGGGGTACAGTGGCAGAGTCTCAGATCACTGTAACTTCTGCTTCCCAGACACAAGCCATCCTTCCACCTCAGCCTGCAGAGCAGCTGGGACTACAGGTGTGCGCCATCACTTCCATCTATTTTTTGTATTTTTTTGGAGAGACAGGGTCTCACTATGTAGCCCAGGCTGGTCAGCAACTCCAGGGCTTAAGTGATTGTTCTGCCTTGGCTTGCCAAAGTGTTGGAATTACAGCTGTGAGCCTCCATGTGTGGCCCCTCATTACTTTTTTGAAAGTGAACATAATGGTGTCTAATTAAAAATATCCCTTTAGTCTCTCCCAGCCAAGTTCACTGTGGGAACTGAGACTGTAGACTGTTTGGGGCCACAGGAGACTCCCATTACCATTGTTTTATTGTTTTATTTTGTTTTTTTTTTTTTTTTTTTTTGAGACTGAGTCTTGCTCTATTGCCCAGGCTGGAGTGCAGTGGCACTATCTCAGCTCACTGCAACCTCCGCCTCCTGGGTTCAAGTGATTCTTATGCCTCAGCCTCCCGAGTAGCTGGAGTTACAGGCACCTGCCACCATGCCTGGCTACTTTTTGTATTTTTAGTAAAGACTGGGTTTCACCTTGTTGGCCAGGCTGGTCTCTAACTCCTGACATCAAGTGAGCCGCCCGCCTTGGCCTCCAAGGTGCTGGGACTACAGTTGTGAACCACCAAGCCCAGCCACATGACCATTGTTTTAGATCCTTAAATTGAGAAGACATTTTTTCTCAAAAAAGGAGCTGAGCTTTGAAGACTCTTGGTAACACTTCCCAGAGCTAATAGAGTTGGGTGGAGCAATTAATGAAAATTCATGGAGTAGGAGTGATTTTGCCCGTTCCTTGGAGGTTAGGAGACACTCTTCTTGGTACCAGAAGGGCAGAACTATGTCTGTGTGGCCAATTATTGCAGAGTCGAATTGGGGTAAACTTAGGACTCTTTCACATCTGCCAGAGTAGTGACTTTTGGCCCAGGAGAAGTCAGGGTGTGAGAGGACTGGCCTGATAAGTTTGTCTTTTCTCTGGATTTGTTTTCTTGCAGATTTATGAGGATGAGCCTACAGGCCCCACGCAGACTCCTGGAGCTGGCAGGGCAGAGCCTGCTGGGGGACCAGGCCTTGGCCATCTCCATCTTGGATGAGCTGCCCAGGGAGCTCTTCCCCCCACTGTTCGTGGAGGCCTTCACTAGCAGACGCTGCGAGGTTCTGAAGGTGATGGTGCAGGCCTGGCCCTTCCCCTGCCTCCCTCTGGGGTCCCTGATGAAGACGCCTGATCTGGAGATCTTACATTATGTAGTGGATGGGATTGATTGCCTGCTTGCCCAAAAGGTTCGCCCCAGGTGAGGTGACCCAGGTGGGGAGGGCCCAGGTGTCCAGGGACTAAACAGCTGGGTCAGACAAATTGGGAACCCGGGGTGGCCCAGGGGCTTCTGATGGTGCCAGTGAGAAAGCTGGGAACGTTCTTGGCTATTGCCCAGCTCCTCTGGGAAAGGACTGCTCACCATACAGGGTCCACTGAGGAAACAGGAACCTGCCTGCTCCCAGTGGAAGGTAAAGGCACTAGAAGTGGGTACCAGGCAGAATCCAAGGGGGAAAGGGATGGAGAAGAGACAGAAGGAGGGGCGCTGAGGAAAAAAGCAGCTGAAGTCCTTGATGTGGAGTGAAAGCCCAGGTCAGGGGTGGGTCCTTGTCTACGTTCTGAGCTTTTCCCCTATGTTACTCACAGGAGGCGGAAACTTCAAGTGCTGGAATTGCGGGATGTTGATGAGAATTTTTGGACCATATGGTCTGGAGCCAGGCCCCTGTCCTGCTCCCCAGAGGCCATGAGTAAGAGGCAGACAGTGGAGGACTGTCCAAGGACAGGAGAGAAGCAGCCCTTGAAGGTGTTCATGGATGTTTGCCTCAAGGAAAAATTCATGGATGAAGATCTGAGCTTCTTCTCTGGGTGGGTCCAGCACAGAAGAGGTTCAGTACACCTGTGCTGTACTAAGGTGGTGAATTATTCAATGAGCATTCTAAATTTCAGAAACATATTGGAAACAGTATACCCAGACAGTATCCAAGTGTTGGAAATTTGGAACATGTGCTGGCCGTGTATGATAGTAGAGTTTAGCCCTTACCTGAGCCAGATGAGGAATCTTCGCAAACTCTTCATCTCCGATGGCTGTCGTTACCTGCTAAGCTCTGACAGCCAAGAACAGTTAGTTGCTGAATTCAGCTCTGTGCTCCTCAGGCTGGAGAACCTCCAGATGCTTTATGTAAGAAGGGTCTGCTTCTTCAGAGGCCACCTGGACCAGCTGATCAGGTGAGGAAGGATGGTGAGCTTTCTCTGGGGGCCATAGCACAGCCTTTTTTTGTTACAATAAACACCAATCAGCATCTACTGTGTGCCAGCCACTGGAGATGTCTAGGGAAGGGGACACTAGAATGCACTGTCCTGTTTGGTGCTCTATATCCTGAAGTGGGTATCACAGGATCGCTCCAGTAAGGGCAGAGGGATGACCTGGGGTAGAAGCTACAGAGAGGGACATCGTGTAGGGAGCTGGTTAGTGGAGGGTTCAGCTCTAGTGAGGGTGAATTCCTTTTAGGAATTCCTTGTTAGGAAGTGTGTTTAAAGTTAATATGATAAATATGAATAGCTTTTGTGAATTCCTTGTTAGGAAGTGTGTTTAAAGTTAATATGATAAAAAAGAGGCAACAGAGGGGAGGGTGTAAAAGAAGAGAAAGTGCACCAAACCTGTGCGTTTCACAGAGGAAGCTCTGTCCTCACAGCTTAGTGAACATGAATGATCCTCTCTCTGATTCCCTGTCTGTAAAAGGTTGTTTTGAACTCCAGGAAAGGTAAGTGACATGGGAAATGCGTGCTTCTGGGATGGAGGTGAGGGAGTAGGCACGAGAGTGGTACAAAGTGACAGGTGGTTTGCAGATGTGGCCATGTCAGGGAGCCTCTGAAAGCAGGTAGCCCTAGCTGATGTCCCTAGACCTTGCTCAGGTCAGTTCTTTGGGCATCTCTTCCACTGGGCTCCTGTGGCCCAGAGATGAAGCTTTCTGCTGGAAGATGAAGAAAAGAGGCTTTAGAGATTTTATGGCCTTGAACCAATTACACCAGTGATGGTGAAAGGACTGAGCCTAAAATGGGACTGCCTCTGAATGATCCAAGTTTCCCCAGAGCAGAAGAAGGAGATTGTTACCCAGTTCACCACTCAGTTCCTCAAGCTGCACTGCCTCCAAAAGCTTTATATGAACTCTGTTTCTTTCCTCGAAGGCCACCTGGACCAGCTGCTCAGGTGAGGGAGGGTGGTGAGCTTTCTCTGCAGACCACAGCAGAGCCTGTTTCACTAAACGCTAGTGGGCATCTACTGTGAGCCAGCCTATGAGGATGAAACAGTGAAGGGGACACTAGAATGTCCATACATTGTCCTGTTGGCGGCCCTGTCCTGAAATGGGTATCATGCAACCATCCCAATAGAGGCAGAGGGATCAGCTAGGGGAGATGCTATAGAGAGGTTGCCATACTAGGAAGCTAGCTACTGGGGGATTCAGATCTAGTGAGGGTGCCTTTCTGAATTCTTCCTGAGGACGTGTGTCTAAGTTAAGATGATGAAAAATAGGCCAGGGGCGGTGGCTCATGCCTGTAATCCTAGCACTTTGGGAGTCTGAGGCAAGAGGATAGCTTGAGCCTAGGAGTTTAAGACCAGTCTGGGTAACATCCCAAGACCCCTGTCAGAAGTGAAGAAATAAAAGTAAAAACAAACAAGATAACTTTTTTTTTTTCTGAGATGAATTTTCACTTTGATCATCCAGGGTAAAGTGCACTTGTGACATCTCAGCTCGCAGCAACTTCTGCCTCCCAGGTTCAAGCGATTCTCCTGCCTCAGCCTCTTGAGTGCCTGGGATTACAGGCATGAGTCAGCACACCTGGCTAATTTTTATATTTTAAGTAGAGACAGGGTTTCACCATGTTGGCCAGGAGATTCTCCAACTCCTGACTTCAGGTGATCCACACACCTTGGACTCCCAAAGTGCTGGGATTATAGGCGAGAGCTACCACGCCCAGCCAACAAGATAATTTTTAAGCAGATGATGTAAAGTAGGGAAGTGAAGTGGGCACTGAAGAGGGGAATGCTCAGCAAACCTGCACATGTCAGAAAATCAGCTTTGTGCCCCATAGTTTGGTGAACATGAATGATCCCATCTCTAATTCCCTGTTGTAAAAGTGTTTTGAGCTCCAGGTAAATTAATTACCTAGGCAATGCATGATTCTGAAACAGAGGGTCAGGGAGCAGGCACAAAGAATGGTGAAAGTGATAGATGGTTTGCTGATGATACAGGCGTGTCAGGGACGCCTGCAGCCCGCCCACCCCAGCTGATGTTGCAGGATCCTGTCTGGGTTTGTCCTTTATGCCTGCATCTCCACTGGGCTTCTGCGGCCCAGGGATGTGGTTTTCTGCCTGACAGATGAGGAAAGGGAGCTTTAGGGATTCTGTGAACTTGATCCATTCCTATAAATGATGGTGAAATGACTCAGCCTCAAATGGAATTATTTTTTCTCCTTTTTTTTTTTTTAATACAGAGTCTCTCTCTGTCACCCAGGCTGGAGTGTAGTGGCATGATCTCTGCACACTGCAACCTACACCTCCTGGGTTCAAGCGATTCTTCTGCCTCAGCTTCCCAAGTAGCTGGAATTGCAGGCTCCCGCCACCACAGCTGGCTAATTTTTGGATTTTTAGTAGAGAGGAGGTTTTGCCATGTTCAGCAGGCTGGTCTCAAACTCCTGATCTCAAGGAATCCACCAGTCTCAGCCTCCCAAAGTTCTGGGATTACAGGTGTGAGTTACTGGGCCGGGCCTAAAGTGGAATTGACCTCGGTGGCAAAGCTCTTCATCACACATCATCCGAAGTGTTGACCATCCGGCCATGAGAATGATCCTGGACTTGGGCAAAATGGTCTCCATCCATTACCTTGAAGCCATTCCCCACCACCCTCCACTCACCCCTATGATTCCCCAGAATTAACTTCTTGCTCTCTCTCCCCAGCTGTCTGAAGACCTCGTTAAAGGTCCTCACAATAACTAACTGTGTGCTTTTGGAATCAGACTTGAAGCATCTATCCCAGTGCCCGAGTATCAGTCAACTAAAGACCCTGGACCTGAGTGGCATCAGACTGACCAATTACAGTCTTGTGCCTCTCCAAATTCTCCTAGAAAAAGTTGCAGCCACCCTTGAGTACCTGGATTTAGATGACTGTGGCATCATAGACTCCCAAGTCAACGCCATCCTGCCTGCCCTGAGCCGCTGCTTTGAGCTCAACACCTTCAGCTTCTGTGGAAATCCCATCTCCATGGCCACCCTGGAGAACCTGCTGAGCCACACAATCATACTCAAAAACTTATGCCTGGAGCTGTATCCTGCCCCACGGGAGAGTTATGGTGCTGATGGTACTCTCTGCTGGAGCAGATTTACTCAGATTAGGGCTGAGCTGATGAAGAGAGTTAGGGACTTAAGGCACCCCAAGAGGATCTTGTTCGGTACTGACTACTGCCCTGACTGTGGCAACAGGTCATTTTATGACCTGGAGGCAGATCAATACTGCTGTTGAATGCCTGCCTATTTGGATGGGTATGTCAAACGCTTTCTTCTGGACACTTGGAAACTAAAACCTAGGTCTTAGGTACATCCTAAAGGGAGCACAGAACCCATCGTTTCACACATGGGCTCTGAAAGTGGGAAAGGAATGCTGATCAAGCAGGGGCAGGACTTGGGGGAAATGTTGCCATGGATTCGATGGGACTTTGGGAACGTGTATCCTGTAGAGTCGAAAATGGGAATCTGAATGTCTAGAGTGGAATTCAGGCTTGAGAATACATGAGGGAGTTACTCTTGCATGGATGGTTGTAAATAAACAATCAGAAATAAAGGAAAACTGAGCAGAATCTGTCTGGTGCCCTCTATTATTAAGTAACCTGTTTTCCAGTTTAAGCCTCAGGAATCTTCAGTTATTGATGGAAAAAACAAAAGGCACTGACTGAGTTGTCCAATCAATAAGATGCAGCCCAAGAAAATCAAGGCATTTAAATGAAATTTGGTTATTGTAATCACTTTCCTCCCATTCTTTTATTGGAGACAGAGTTTCACTCTTGTTGCCCAGGCTGGAGTTTAGAGTGCAATGGTGCCATCTCAGCTGACTGCAACCTCCACCTGGGGTTTAAATGATTCTCCTGCCTCAGCCTCCCAAGTAGCTGGGATTACTGGCATGCACCACCGTGCCCAGCTAATTTGTGTATATTTAGTAGAGACAGGGTTTCCTCACTATGTTGGTCAGGCTGGTCTCAAACTCCTGACTTTGGGTGATTCATGCAAGTAGGCCTACCAAAATGCTGGGATTACAGGTGTGAGCCACTGTGTCAGGCTTTTGCTTTTGTTTTTGTTTTTTAAAGGTCTTCTGTCACTCAGGCTACAGTGCAGTGGCACAATCATACCTCACTGCAGCCTCAATTTCCTGGGTTCAGGCGATCTTCCCACCTCAGCCTCCTGAGTAGCTAGGACTACAGCTGTGTGAGCCACCACACCTGGATACTTTTTTTTAGTAGAAACAAGGCCTCGCTGTCTTCCCCAGGCTGATCTGGAACTCCTGAGCTTGTGATTCTCCTGCCTTGGCCTCCCAAAATGCAGGGAGTATAGGCGTGGACCACCACGCTTGGCTTGGCCTCCTCCAGTTCTTCACTTCTTTAGATGTCTGTTAACTCCTTGTTAGTTTCTGTGGCTGTTCAGTGGGTTAATACACACCAGGTGGACACCAAAGGCCTGGAACATTACTGGGCAAGAACAGTGAGCCAATCCACACGGAAAGCACCTTCTTCTCAGGGTCTTTCACCGCTAGCCAGATGCTGAGACCCTGCCCACTCCCTGTGAGTCTCCACATGCTTCCAGAAGCCTTAGTTGGTGGATGTCAGCTTCACTGCACAAGGAGCCACTCTCTTCTCGCTGCCCTGGAAGGGTATGTCCATATTGTGTATTAGCTGGAGACTCTGGGCAGCACCAAACCTTGCTTGTTCCCCTGATGACCAGCAGCCCTTCTTGAATTAAACTGGTTGTAGCCAGTAAAGACAGCCACATTCCCTTTAAGTAAAATACTAAAACTATACAGGCATGTAACACTTTTTAAATATTTCCATCTGACATTTTAAAAGTTACATCTTTTGGGGGAGCTAGGTCAGATTGATGAGAGATTTTCTCATAACACCTTCCCTCTCTCCCTATGAAGGAAGAGACTAGTGCAGCGTGTTCTGGAATCTGACAGCATCAAAGGGTGGATAACGATCAAGGGCCTGTGGGTGATGAGTGACCTTCCCTGTGCTGAGGAAGCCTGCATAGCGGGCATCCAAGTGAAGGATCCTGCTGAGTACTCAGGGGCTGGTGTTGCTGTCAGGGATGTTAGCCAAGAGCCTCAGCTTCCTGTAAAATGAGGATGATGATGTCCAACAGCTTATGGGACCTAGGTAGGATCCAATGAGATGGTTCATGTTTAGGGCTTGGCATGGGGTCTGGCATACAGTAAGATCAATACATCTTGTTCTTTTTTCTCTTCTCAGCAGAAGTCCCAGCATTTTTCATCTTTCAATCTCACCTCCTTTTCCTGATAATAGAGAGGCAACAAGAACTCAGGGCATGCAATGGGGCTCAACTTCTACTCTCTGCCACAATTTCATCACGATTCCCCCAAAGAGCAGAGCCCCAGGAGCCAGCAGGGGGCAGGGTGGGCATTTCTGGACTGGATTCATTCATAATAAGATCAAAATTTCCAATCCGTATGTCTCGGGTGCCATCTGCTGATAGATCCGACCAGATGGTATAATTGAGTGTTGCAAGGATTATATTTTATGGTGTTTTTAAAAATGTACTATTATGAGCCAGGTGCAGTGGCTCACGCCTGTAATTCCAGCACTTTGGGAGGCTGAGGCAGGTGGATCACCTGAGGTTGGGAGTTTGAGACCAGCCTGAGCAACATGAAGCAACCCCTTCTCTACTTAAAATACAAAAAATTAGCCAGGCGTGGTGGCGCACGTCTGTAATTGCAGCTACTCGATAGGCTGAGGCGGGAGAATCGTTTGAACCTGGGAGGTGGAGGTTGCGGTGAGCTCAGACTGAGCCATTGCACTCCAGCCTGGGCAACAGTAGCAAAACTCCGTCTCAAAAAAAAAAAGATAAAATAAAATTTATTATTATGGCCGGGCATGGTGTCTCACACTTCTAATCCCACCACTTTGGGAGGCCAAGGCAGCCTCGGGATTTTGAGACCAGCCTTGCCAACATGGTGAAACCCCGTCTCTACTAAAAATACACAAAATTTGCTGGGAGTGGTGGCATTCGCCTGTAATCCCAGGTATTCAGGAGGCTGGGGCAGGACAATCACTTGAACCCGGGAGGCGAAGGTTGCAATGAGACAAGATCGCGCCACTGCACTCCAGCCTGGGTGACAGAGCATGAAAAAAAATTTACTATAATGTGAATACTATTAGAGTACAAATATTTGTGTTGTAATTTATGTACATGAAAGATTAGAACTTTTAAAGAATGCAACGTGATATGTTAAGAATGGTTAATGGCCAGGTGTGGTGGTTCATGCCTGTATTCCTGGCACTTTGGGAGGCCGAGGTGGGCAGATCACGAGGTCAGGAGTTCCAGACCAGCCTGGCCAACATGATGAAACCCCGTCTCTACGAAAAATACAAAAAATTAGCCTGGCGTGGTGACAGGCGCCTGTAATCCCAGATAGTCAGGAGGCTGAGGCAAGAGAATCGCTTGAACCTGGGAGGCAAAGGTTGCAGTGAGCCGAGAATGCACCACTGCACTCCAGCCTGGGTGAAAGAGGAAGACTCCGTCTCAAGGAGGGTGAGAAAAAGAATACTTAACTTGGTTTGAAATGTCAAAACAAATGAGATTTTAAAAACCAATTTTAAAGACACTGAACAATAATCATTTCTTCTTTAAAATATATTTAGAATAATACAATTTTAGCTTTGAAAGGAAACATTACAGTTTTTAAAAATATTGAGTTTATTTTATTTTATTTTATTTTATTTTATTTTATTTTATTTGGAGACAAAGTCTCACTCTGTCGTCCAGATTGGAGTGCAGTGGCATGATCACGGCTTACTGCAGCCTTGACCTCCTAGGCTCAGGTGATCTCCCTGCCTCAGTCCCCCTAGTAGCTGGAACAACAGGCATGCACCATCATGCCTGGCTTATTTTTGTATTCTTAGTGAAGACCAGGCTTCACCATGTTGCCCAGACTGGTCTTGAAATTCTGGGCTCAAGCGATCCACCTGGCTCGGCCTCCTAAATTGCTGGGAGTGAGCTCTTATAGGCATGAGCCACCGCACCCAGCCTTGAGTTTATTTATTTATTTATTTTGGAGATGGAGTCTCACTCTTTCACCCAGGCTGGAGTGCAGTGGTACGATCTCAGCTCACTGCAACCTCTGCCTCCAGGGTTCAAACAATTCTCCTGTCTCAGCCTCCAGAGTAGCTGGGATTACAGGCATGCACCACCACACCTGATTAATTTTTGTATTATTATTATTATTATTTTTTAGTAGAGACAGGGTTTTGTCATTTTAGCCAGGCTGGTCTCGAACCCCTGACCTCAGGTGATCCACCCGCCTCGGCTTCCCAAAATGCTACGACTATAGATGTGAGCCACCACGCCCAGCCTATTTTTTTCTTTATAGCAGTTTTAGATTCACAGAAAAACTAAGCAGAAACTGCAGAGTTCTCATCTACCTTCTTCCCCCTTCAATACACAGCACCCCCACAGGATCAGCACCCACACCAGCACAGAGCATTCGTCACAATCAATGAGCCACAGGGACACATCATTATCACCCAATGTCCATAGTTTACATGAAGGATCATTGCTGGTTTTGTATATTCTATGGATTTTAACAAAGGGATAATGACATGTATCCACCATTAGAGCATCATGCAGAGTAGTTTTGTTTCCTTAAAAGTCCTCTGTCCTCTTTCCATTCATCCCATTGTACTCCAAATCCCTCGCAACCAGTGGGTTTTCTACCATCTCCATAGAAAAAGGCAGAAGGCTTTTCTGGAATGTCTAACAGGATGAGTCTTTTCACATTGCCTTCTTTCACTTGTACAATAACGTGCATTTAGGAATCTTTCATGTCTTTTTATGGCTTTGTAATAGTTCACTGACCAGATGGATCACAGTTTCTTTATCCAGTCACCCACTGATGGGCATCTTTCTTGCTTCCAAGTTTTGGCGATTATGAATAAAGCTGCTATAAACATCCAGGTGTGGGTTTACTCCCTTCGTTAAATACCTGGGAGCATGATGACTGAATCGTAGGGGTATGGTATGTTTTACAAGGATTTTTTCTTTCTTGACAATCTCACTTGTTCGATATTGCTGCTAAAGGTCAGGAACTTTGTCTCGATCATCCTGTGGTCCCACTGCTGAGCATGGAACGTGGCACTTGGTAGCAAATGCTGTTGACCACATGATGCATGGAAATGCTTATCATCAGTATAGCCACTAAATTGCTAACGTGGGGACGTCAACAGTAGCTCACTACCAATAATACAAATAAGTTGGATTATGGAAAAAATAGCCCTTGTGATACTGTGGATACTCCATGTGTATCATGAAAGTACAGCAATTGGCCAGGTGCAGTGGCTCACATCTGTAATCCCAGCATTTGGGAGGCCGAAGTGGGTGGGTCACTTTAGGTCGGAAGTTTGAGACAAGCATGGCCAACATGATTGAAATCCTGTCTCTATTAAAAATACAAAAATTGACTGGGCGTGGTGGTGCATAGGTGTAGTCCCCACTACTGGGGAGACTGAGGGAGGAGAATTGCTTGAACGCAGGAGGTGGAGGTTGCAGTGATCGAAGATCATGCCATTGCACCCCAGCCTAGGCAACAGAGTGAGATACCGTATCAAAAAAAGAAAAAGAAAGAAAGAAAGAGAGAGAGAGAGAGAGAGAGAAAGAAAGAAAGAAAAACAAAATGAAACAAAACAAGAAAGTCCAGCATGGTAGGAGGTACATAGAGGTACATGAGGGCGAGCTTCATTTGTTTTTCATCCTTTTTCCCTTCTCTGGACAGTATTCTGAATGCAAAACATTCCAAAACCACAGAGCAAACATCTCCTATAATCTTCCCCTTATCCCAGACTTCTCTTCACAGTGTATGTGCTAGTGTCTTCCAGACTTTTGTATGACTTGCTATACAGAAGATCAGATCAAATGGGCATGTCCCTAAAAAGTGGTGACTTGCCAGTTCTGGACTCACTTTGCAGGGTGCCGGGACCTCTGTGAGAATCAAGCAGTAGCTCCAGGAGCCAGGGCTTTGGGTCTCTTCTGTGCACCTTCAGGAGCTTTTATTGACCTTTCTCACTACAACCCCCTTCTTGACTACCAACTTTCAATTCGAAAACGACATCCAACTGGATCGTGAACTTCCACCCAGTTAACCCTGATTGAGTTTTCAATTTTCTTCTCATGAAGTGATTAAATTAGATAGGCATTTATGAAAGTGAAAGAAGTAATAACAGGATGAAGGTCTAAAACTCATTTATTCACTTATTCCACAAACACTGGTAAAGTTTGACTAATATGTGACCTTCATAGTGATACAGGGAAGGATTTAATCTGTTTCTGACATTAGAATATATATATATCTTTATTGGAGAATCTTTGGCCACATCAAAAGTATCAAAACATTTCAGCATTAAAGCAGCTTTAAGAAGACAGGGATGTCATCCCTAAAAAACACAATAAAAATCTCTGTGTATCCACTGGGCACCTGGGTTTTATGCTACCTAACATGGTAGATCATATGCCCATTCAGGTGGAAGACAGGAACTACTGAGGGTGTAATTTTTCTCAAGGTTAAGGTCAAGGTTTCACTGAAAGAAATCAGGCCTACATTACAAAGTAAGGTGAGGGCTGGGCTGGATGGGACTAAGTGTTCTAATGGGACCCTAGGAGGGAACCAAGACAACATAAAACATGGCAGGTATTTTGTGGGCATCTGGACAAAAGGATTGAAAGACTTTTTTTTTTTTTAGATTGGGTGTCACCCAGGGTGGTGTGCAGTGTTGCAATCTTGACTCACTGCAACCTCTGCCTCCCAGGCTCAAGCAATCATCCCCTCTCAGCCTTCTGAGTAGCTGGAACTTCCAGCACGTGGCAGCATACCTGGCTAATATTTTGTATTTCATGCAGAGAAAAGATTTTACCACATTTCCTGGGCTAGTCTCAGAATTCCTGGACTCAAGTGAACCATGGTGCCCAGCAATGTTATTGTGATTTTAAATGACAGATTTTGCTTTGTTTTTAAGAAAACCACAGAGATATTCCACATGCTATTTTCTTTTCTTTTTTTTTTTTAATTTTGAAATGAAGTCTCACTCTGTCACTCAGGCTGGGGTGCAATGGCATGATCTCAGCTCACTGCAACCTCCACCTCCCAAATTCAAGTGATTCTTCTGCCTCAGCCTCCTGCGTAGCTGAGATTACAGGTGCGAGCCAACACACCCAGCTAATTTTTGTATTTTTAGTAGGGTTGGGGTTTCACCATATTGGCCTCACTGGTCACGAACTCCTAACCTCAGATGATCCACCTGCCTTGGCCTCCCAAAGTGCTGGGATTACAGGCATGAACCACCATGCCCCATCATATATGCTATTTTCTATTAATTTTTTTAATAGTGATGGGGTCTTGCTTTACTACGTAGTCTGGTCTTGAGGCAGAAATTTAAACACAATAATAACAATAAATACTACATTCATTTACTCCAAGAAAAGTTACAGACAAAGCTATAAGAAGGTCATAGTGACCTAGTCTGAGAAGTAAAAGCCAAGGCCCAGAATGTGTCAGGCAAAGGTAAAACAAACAAACAAACAAACAAAAAACAAGTTTTCCTCTGCCTAGCAAGCTCATTTCAAGGACAGTTATAAGATAATGCTGTTGGAGAAGTTGAAAGAAAGGAATAGGCTCCAGACACCCACTGCTCCAGAGCAAGGGTGATTAAAAAAAAGAAAGAAAAATGGCAAATGTCTGTATTTAGCCAGTTCTTCTTTTTTCTTTTGATGCAGCTACAAGGCCACCAGCTATGCAAGGCCACAGTTATGTAATAGATTACATTACCTGTCATTGTATGATTAACTGCCATTGTTTTGCTTCTGTAAGCCTGCTTATAAAAATCCTGCTCAGTCTTTGTTCAATGCTCAGCTTTTTGGATATGAATCCACTGAGCCAGTGTGTACCTTAAAAAAAAAAATCCTCCTGTTTTCCCATATCAGTCTCTCTGGTCCTCAGTTTCTCAGAACTTTTTGGTGAGCCAGACAGGAGGAGTGGAGATGACAGGTTTACTTTCTCCTTTTCTTGTGGGGCTGGAGCCCAGGGTCAAGGGAAAGAAACCTGTGACCCCAGGCGCTGCTGGAAGAACTTCAGCCCAGAGGGGAGATCGGCTCTCCTGTGACCTGGTGCCCCCACCCAGCAGCACAACAGAACCTGAGGGGCTACAGGATGATTCCAGGAGCAGTGTGATTTCTTCAGGACTGCAGTAAAGTTTTGGGACCAAAGACAGGATCCGTCCCATAAGGACGGAAGGGGAGCCTGATCACCTCCAAGGGTGTAACTAGTAATCTGACCCAGAGAGGCTGGAGGTGGTGAGAGAGGCTCGCCAATTCAGATGAATCTCACACCCTACCTGGCACACAATGCAAGAGTGGCTCCCCAAGTCGGTTAGGAAAAGAAAACTGGAGGTGGTGAGAGTGGCTCAAACCCCAATTAGGAACACACGAACTGGGAGTGGGGAGGTGTGTGAAAGTGTGTGAAAGATACAGTTCAGGGAGGAACCAATGTGGGAGTGGCATGGGGAGTCACAGATCTCTTAGCATGGTCTGTGTGCTCCAAGCCAAGTGCGGGGCCAACCTGCACTAGTGGCGAACCGCATACAGCTAATAGGAGCTGCCCCACATCTCAGAGTTATGGTGGGAATAAAACCCTTTCTTAAGCCAAGTGGCATCTGAAAACTCCCATAATAGGAGATGATCTGGTGGGTCTGAGGCAAAAGGAAGAGTGGGTGTGCTGCATCGTAAAGCGAGGAAATAGGAGGAAAGTCATCAAAACACACTCCATTGGGTGCATGTTAGAGAACTTTAATAAAGGTTTTGCAGGAGATTATGGAGTTACGCTAACCTCCTAGAGGTTGAGAACTCTCTGTGAATTCAAATGGCCTTCTTTTGGTGTTGGATGGCCAACCAAAGGAACTATAGATAGGGAAATAATTGACCGTGTATTTAAGGTGGTGACAGGGGTTGGAGGACAGCCTGGGCACCCAGATCAATTTCCTTATATTGACTTATGGTTAAATATAGCACAGACAAGACCAGCATGGTCCAGCTCTGTTTAGCCAGTTAGTGCAAAACACTTGTGGCCAGAGCCGTGCCAAAAATGAAAGTAAGAACAGCTTCACCGGCAGACACAGAGTTAAAGGCAAAGTCCCAGAGGGAGCAAAAAAGCCAGTTTTGCAGGATCCACCAGAGGGAATAGAGATTCCTACTCCATATGTCCCAGCCTAGCCTTCTTTACCGAGGCCAACAGTCCCCCAGGAACCAGATTCAGGAGCTAGCACACCCAAAGTCTCACCCCAAAGGAAGGATCAGAGGCTTGAGAGGCCAGGGAAGGAAGTCAAGATGGTTAAGCCGGCCATCTCAGATCTAGCCATGCTTGAGTTATGCAAATGCATCTCAGGGAGATGGGAGGACCCATTTATTATGATGACCAAGGCCAAGTCAGGTGGGGGGAATGGACTTTCATCTATCATCCCTTTTCAACCATTGATCTCTTGAACTGGAAACACCATACTCCCTCCTATATGGCAAAGCCCCAAGCTCTTATAGATCTGATGCAATCCATCTTTCTGACACACAATCCAACCTGGCCAGACTGCAGGCAGTTTTTTCTCCCACTGTTTAACACTGAGGAGTGTCGGAGAGTAACACAGGCAACTCTCTGCTGGCTAGAAGCCCGCTGTTCTCTCTCTACACTTTGTCTCTGTGTCTTATTTCTTTTCTCAGTCTCTCACCCCACTTGATGAGGTATACCCACAGGTGTGGAGGGGCTGGCCCCCTTCCTTTAGGGGCAGCAGGATTCTGCCACATCTGGATTCCAAATTTTTCAGTGATGGCTAAGACATTATATGAAGCCACAAAATCGGAGAAAAAGAGCCCCTCCTTTGGGAAACTAATCAGGAAATAGCATTCAAACAGCTCAAGGAAGCTTTAGGTCAGGCCCAACCTTAGGACTACCAGATATAATTAAGCCTCTCTTTCTATGTATTCATGAATGAAAAGGAATGGTTATAGGGGTTCTGACTCAAATTATAGCATCATGGCATTGCCCAGTGGCGTATTTATACAAACAACTGGACTCTGTGGTGCTAGGATGGTCTCCTTGCCTTAAGGCATTAGCTGCCACCATCTTGTTAACACAAGAAGCTAGCAAATTAACTCTGGGACAGCAGCTAACTGTGCGGGTGCCACACTCAGTTATAACTTTGATGGACCAAAGAGGGCATCTTTGGTTATCAAACCCAAAAATGACTCAGGTCTTCCTTGTGAGAACCCTTACATTATTTTAGAAACAGTGAACACCTTAAACCTGGCTCCTCTGCTCCCAGTCTAACCGGGGGCTCCCCTCCATGACTGTGTTGCAACAGTAGATGAGGTGTTCTCCAGTCGGAAAGATCTTGCAGACAGACCTCAGAGACCCGGCTTTTGAATACTTCACAGATGGAAGTAGTTTTGTGCTAGAAGGGGTTCAAGATGCCAGGTATGCAGTAATAACATTGGACTTAGTAGTAGATGCTCTGCCTCTGCCTACTGGAACATGAGCTCAAAAGGCAGAATTAATAGCCCTGACAAGAGCACTGTTTCTAGCAAAAGAGAAGAAGGTCAATATTTACACTGATTCTAAGTATGCTTTTACTACATTGCATGTACATGAAGTTATAGACAAAGAGAAAGGGCTTTTAACAGCTGGAGGCAAAGAAATCAAGTACAAAGAAGAGATTCTACAGCTCTTAGAGGCTGTATGGCCTCCAGGAAAAGTAGCTTTAATGCACTGCAGATGGCACCAAAAGTCAGGGACACCAAAAACCAAAAGAAACAGAAAGGCAGACAGAGAGGCAAAGAGGGGAGCAATGATTGCATCACATTTTAAAGAGGAAGCCTTAGCTATGCTTCTCCTCCCAGAAGCTCCTCTCCAAGAAGATCCAAGTTCTACTCCAAATGAAAGAGCCTGGTTTGCTCAAGAAGCTGGAAAATATATTAAAGGAGGGTGGTGGAAATTCTTCAATGGGACATTAGCCATTCCAGAAATGTTAGCTCCTACGTTTCTGAAGCAAATTTATCTAGGAACTCATATGGGAAAAAATGGCACTGGAAACATTACTGAAATGCTGTTTCTATGTGCCGTGGCCATCATTTGAGCTGTTTGTAAACAATGTTTAACCTGTGCTCAGAACAACCCGTGACAGGGGCCCACTCAACCCCCAAGAATTCAGGAAGTAGGAACCATGCCTTGTGAAAACTTTCTTGTAGACTTTACCAAACTACCCCATGCCAGAGGCTATCAGTATATGCTGGTGCTTATTTACACCTTTTCAGGATGGGTTGAAGCTTTCCCCACCAGAACAGAAAAAGCATGAGAAGTGACTAAAGTACTGCTAAGAGACATCATCCCCATGCTTGGACTGCCTCTAACTTTAGGGTCCGTTAATTGCACGGCATTTGTAGCTGAAATAGTGCAAGATTTAACAAGACTGTTAAAAATAAAATGGAAGTTACACACAGCCTATCAGCCGCAAAGTTCAGAAAAAGTGGAATGCATGAACCAGACACTCAAGGAGCTTCTGAAGAAATATTTCCAGGAAACCTATCTGAGATGGGATCAGGTCTTGCCTATGGTCCTCCTCTGAGTCAGGTGCACCCTCACCAAACAAACTGGGTATTTGCCCTATGAGATTTTGTTCAGTCAGCCTCCCCCAGTCATAAGTCAAATTAAAGGTTATCTCCTTGAACTAAGAGAATTAACCTTAAGAAAGCAAATGCAGGCATTAGGGACAGACTTGCAAAGTGTCCATGGGTGGGTACAGGAAAGAATGCCTGTAAGCCTGACAGACCAGACACACCCCTTTAAACCTAGTGACTCTGAGTTAAAAAGTTGAATTAAATTCTCTAGGACCCATATGGGATGGGCCCTATACTGTAACCTTTTTTTTTTTTTTTGATGCAGAGTCTTGCTCTGTCCCCCAGGCTGGAGTGCAGTGGTATGATCTCAGCTCACTGCAAGCTCTGCCTCCTGGGGGTCGCACCATTCTCTTGCCTCAGCCTCCCAGGTAGCTGGGACTACAGGTGCCCGCCACCATGCGTGGGTAATTTTTGTATTTTTTTTTTTAATAGAGATGAGGTTTCACCGTGTTAGCCAGGATGCTCTCCATCTCCCAACCTCGTGATCCACCCGCCTCGGGCTCTGAAAGTGCTGGGATTACAGGCATGAGCCAACACACCCAGCCCTATACTGTAATCTTGTGTACTCCCTCTGCTGTTAAAGTTGCAGGTGTTGTGCCTTGGATCCACCACAGCTGGCTGAAACCGAAGCTCAGGACAAGTGGACCAGCCAGCAGGACCCAGATCACCCACCTGATCCTGAGATGAGACACAGCTGGTCCTGAGATGAGACCAAGCTGATGCTAAAGATGACTGCCCTGCTCTGGTCACTCCAGAAGCTGACCAGTCTACGTACAGCTGAAGGTTGAGGAGACAACAAGCCCTGCTCTAGTCACACACTGGAAGCTGACTAGTCTACGCACGGCCGAAGCTTGAGGACTCATCAAGCAAATAAACATAGTTAGAAATCTTAGGACTAGTAGTTTTCCTTGTAATACTGTTTTCCTATTGTTCACTGAAACCTCTGCTTCCTCAGTTCAAGCAATTCTCCTGCCTCAGCCTCCCAAGTAGCTGGGACTACAGGCACAACACCACACCCAGCTAATTCTTCTATTTTTACTAGAGATGAGGTTTCACCATATTGGCCAGGCTGGTCTCAAATTCCTAACCTCATGATCCACATGCCTCAGCCTCCCAAAGTCCTGGGATTACAGGTGTGAGCCACTGCGCCCAGCTGTCCTGCTTCTTTCTCAGTGGGGATCTGCTCCCCACACATTCTCCTCTGTGTTCCTCAGGCCACGAATATCTCTGAGGTCCATCAGTGTGAGGTCTCTTGCAGGTGCCATTCCTTCCTTTCTCTCAGGACTTTTTTTATTGGTGTGTCTCTGTGCCATAAGGAATGTGTGCCTGTGAAGAACAGGCTAGACTCTGCAGCAGGACACAGAGGCCCTGGAGAGGCAGACAGTGGAGCAAGCAGGGGCTGAAGTTACCTCGTTTTTACCCAAAGGAGGCTCCTAACCACTGTCGCCACTGACACAGTGGCTCCAATAAAAAGAAAATAGGGGATGACTCCACACATTTCCTTGAGCAGCTAGAAAAAAAAATCCCTGTTGATATTCATATTAGTACAGTACTTTTGGTAGTGTTAGCACTTGTATTAGTAGTAGTACTAGTATTAGTGTCAATACCTACATTAGTATTAGTAGTGGTCTTGTTTAGCTGATGAAAGCTTGTTTCTCTCTCCTTCTGGGATAAAAACTCAAGACACCCTGGGGATCTCGAGTGCATGGACCAGGGAGTCTGAAGGAGTTTGTTCTTTGGATGTGAACCCATGGGAAGTGGGTGTGTATTCTGTGGCCAAAGTCGCTGACCTCTTTGATTAGAGGAGACACAGGGGGCTAGCACCCACCCCCAGGCCTGTGCTTCCAGGAACACTTCTCTCTCTTTCCATGTGTGTGCCTGAGAGGGTTCCTGGTCCTCACCCATCCCCATTGGCTCTTCTACAAGTGATGTGTCTACTGTACACCTACAGGTGACCTTGTGTAGAAAGAAATCCAAGAACACACATGGGGCCACATAGAGTGAGACTGCCTCCAGGCAGGCACAGGGACCCCGAGCTTCTGAGGCACTGTGAGCGCCTGAGACTGGGGCACTCTCATGGAGACAAATGCATGGGGCTTTAGAAAAGGCTGGGTTGGAGGGAGCAGAGGAGGGCATGGATGGAATGCAGGGGTCCCTGGAAGCTTCAGGCCAGAGGCACTTGGGAGTGGGGAAGGCATCATGGAGAAAAAGGTCAGGGCTCCTTCCATGCCCTGAGGTCACAGCGGGTCTCCCTCTCTCCCAGCTTCTCCCTGGGCTCTTGTGTCTGGGAGTCAGGGCTGGCTCAGCTGGGGTTCTTTGGTGAGTGGGAAGGACATAGGGCACTCAGCGTCTCAAGTGCAAATTTTAACATAATCCTCAATGAGAGGTTTCGCCCAGTAGCCTCCTGTCCACAGATCCCATGTCTTCTTGCTGGACTCCTGAGGGGGTTGCCCAGCCAGGGACACGAGGCGTTTTACTTTTCCCTGCCAAGTGAAAGACCATGTTAATCTGTGAGGCCAGCTCTGTCCTGGAGAGTTGTCACTTTCTAGGTGCTCACACCACACACATGTATATATATATATATATATATATATATATATATACACACACACATACCATGAGGTCATTGACACTTACCAAGGGGGCGAACCAGGGATGTCAGGATCCACGGGGCCCCACCCAGGGGCTGCTGGGAAGGCACTTTTGTCCAAGGAGGTACCCCGGCCTGAACCTCCGCTGTTCCCTTTTTTTTTTCCTTCCACAGGTGCCTCTACCTCCCCTTTCAAGCCTTATCATCCTTTCTGGGCCTTCTTGCCCCATTGGGGTAAAACCGCGAGTGTGACATGCACCGTGGGTGAGCACCAGGGACGCCAGGATCACCAGGGCCCTGTGCAGGGTCTGCTGGGAGGGCACTTTCATCTGTGGGGGGACCCAGGCACCCCTTCTCTGCCTCGCCATTTTTTTTCTTCCACAGGTGTCTCTACCTCCCCTTTCTAGCCTTATCTTCCATCCTGGGACTTCTTACCACTTTGGGGTGCCCCCCATGGGTGTGACATGCACCTTGGGTGTGAATCAGGGATGGAACTAACCCCGGAGCCCTGTGCAAGTGCTGCTGGGAAGGCACTTTAGTCCATGCGGGGACACAGGCCCCCCTCCTCTGCCGCACGTATTTTTTACCTTCCACTAGTGCCTGTTGCTGCTTTGGGTTTCCCCCCAGTGGGAGGGACAGGCATCGTTGGGGCGAACCAGGGACACCAGTATCCCCAGGACCAAGCTCAGGAGCTGCTGGGAAGTCACTTTCATCCATGGGGGGACCCATGCCCACCTCCTCTGCCGTGCCGTTTTTTATTCCTTCCACAGGTGCTTCTACTTTAAGCTTCAAGCCTTCTCTTCCATTCTGGGCCTTCTTGATGCTTTGGGGTGCCTCCCGCAGGTGCAACACGCACTGTGGGTGTGAACCAGGGATGCCAGGATCCCCCGGGCCCTGTGCAGGGTCTGCTGGGAGGGCACTTTCATCCGTGGGTTGACCCAGGCCCCCCTTCTCGACTGCGCCATTTTTTTCCTTCCACAGGTGCCTCTACCTCCCCTTTCAAACCTTATCTTCCCTTCTGGGCTTTCTTGCCCCTTCCGGGTGCCCCCACCACCATGACAGGCAACGTGGGTGTGATCCAGGGATGCCAGAAATCCCGGGGACTCCGTAGGGGCTGCTGGGAAGGCACATTCTTCTGTGGGGGGACCCAAGCACCCCTCCTCTACGGTGCCCATTTTTTTCCTCCACAGGTGCCTCTACCTCCCCTTTCACGTCTTGTCTTCCTTTCTGGGCTTGCTAGAAGCTTTGGGGTGCCCCCCATAGGTGCGATATGCAGCGTGGGTGTGAACCAGGGACGCCAGGATCCCTGGGGCCCAGTGCAGGGTCTGCTAGGAAGGGACTTTCGTCTGTGGGTGGACCCAGGCCCTCCATCTCAGCCCCACCATTTTTTTTTTTCCTTCCACAGGTTCCTCTACCTCCCCTTTATAGCATTAACTGCCATTATGGGCCTTCTTGGAAGTGCTGGGAACTGCAGAACCACAAAAAGGGAATCACAGCCCTGGCTCAGGAAGCTCCCACGTCTGGGCTCCTGAAAAGAGTAGTAGCTCTTCTCTTTTTCTCTTCACCTACAACTTGGTGAGCAAGGGGCATGTTTCAGCTTTGTTTGTGTTACTGCTTTTAGCCCCACCATTAGGCGGGTCTTGTCCTGCAACCAGGAAGAATGAAATATGCAGACAAGTGGAGAGTGAGCAAGATAAAGAGGACCTTTATTGAGCAATAGAATGGGGAAGGGGGGACCTCCTGGGCCCTCGAGAGCACTAGGGGACCTTGTTTGGTAACTGCAACCTGGGCAGCTTCAGTTGTGCCTTTGGAGCTACGGCCCTGCCGACTTGGGAGGACCAGGACTCCCTCTTGTCCCAGGATCCCATCAGCTCCAAAGTGTGCACAGCCTCAGCTTTGCCCTCTCTCTGTTTCCGTGCAGAGGTGACAGGTGAGATGCAGGTTCACAGCAGCTCTGGTCAACCCCACAGAAACAAATCTGAAGCTCCTGGGTCCGGTTTAATGAGCCCCAACTGCGCTCTGATCCAGGAGTTTGCAGGCTAACAGCACAAAGTGGGGAGTGAGGTCGAGGCTGTGGTGGAGACTGCGGACCTAGGGGCAAGTCCCGTTTAGCCGTGAGAGGGTATGGGTGGCACAGTTGGCTGCCTCAGGGACATGGGGCACAGGCCTGGCTGACAACCCAGCCAAGAGGTGGTGCCTTTAGGAGTGGATCGTGGTCCACAGGCCCAGCAATCGGAAGCATCAGGCTCTGTGTTCACCCCTCTTGGGGGCAGATCTTGGAAATGCAGCCTCAGGAAGATTCACACAGAACTCCTTTTTAGACCTAGGAACTTGATACTATTAGCAGGGTGGGCACACAGTTGATGCATAGCTGGCCAGGTCATTGAACTTGGTGCCATTTCTGCTTCCCAACTCGGGGCCCTGGAGCATGGCCCCAGCTCTGCCTTTGGAACCTGACAACCACACTTCATGTGCAAGCACGGCACCACCCCAAGCCCATCTTCTCCTCATGGCCTCTTTCTGCCTGTGCCTTTGTGCCCGACCGAGCTGCTCCCCACAGTCGAAAAAGTATGAAAAAACAGATGACTAAAGAGAAGTAAAGGATGGGTGCAGACCATTCGCACACCTGTAATCCCAGCACTTTGGGAGGCCAAGGTTGGCGGATCACTCAAAGCCAGGAACTCAAGACCAGCCTGGTGAACAGGGTAAAACCCTGTCTCTACGAAAAATACAAAAATTAGCAGGCTTGGTGGCACGTGCCTGTACTCCCAGCTACTTGAGTGGTTGAGGCACGAGAATCACTTGAGCCCCACAGGAAAGGATTCCAGTGATCCCAGATTGCACCACTACACTCCAGCCTGAATGACAAAGCAATATTTTTGTCTCCAAAAATAAAAAAATAAATAATGAAATAAAAGAACAAGAATGGGTGGGAATTACTCAAAATGGTCTAATTTTATTTGGCTGCTATGATGTTCCGCAGCTGAACCTCAATCACAGACAAACTAGTGCCTCGTTATTTTTCCATCAGTAACTCAATAACTAGAGATTTCTGATGTATAAATCCCTAAAACAAGTAAATCTATTACAGAGGACACCAGAAGGTTTTCACTGAGGTTCTCTATTTCTGATATTTCTTGGTAATCATCCTTGCAGGGATAACATTCTCATCACTGAAGAATTTTAGTTTCTCTTTCTGACTCTGTAGCTCTCATTGACTCCACCTCAATATTTTCCTCAAGTCTTGCCCCCTGCTCTTAGGATTTTTTCCCTCGCACTGAGCACCTGTCTGAAACAGAGCTCTGTGCTTCCTTTAAGTTGCACATGTGGCCTGGGCACAGTCGCTCATGCCTGTAATCCCAGCACTTTAGAAGGCCGAGGCAGGAGAATCCCATGCGACCAGCAGTTTGAGACCTGCTGGGGCAACATAGTGAAACACTTTCTCAATTTTTTTGTAATAAAAATATTGGAATTATTAAAAAAGGAAATAAGAAAAGAGGAAAATAACTTGCACCTACATACTAGATTTTAGTGTCCAAGGGCCTAGAAGAGAACATTGGATTTCTCTACCCCGCTAGGCACGCCTTCCCTAGCAGCAAAGATGGAGCTCCAGTTCCTCAGACGGTGATGAGCCACAGGACGGGCAGGGGGCGGGGCCAATGAAGATCCTCTTGGGCTGCCTGACTTCCCTTAGTGTACACATCAACTAAGCCCGAAGTGGGGTGAAGATCTCCCAATCGACATGAACCAAGGAATTCAAACTCTCCTCGGGGGCAGGATACATCTCCAGGCTTAACTTGCTCAGCCCACTGGTGTGGCACAGCAGGTCCTTCAGGGCTTCCATAGACATGCAATTTCTGCCAAAGTAGAAGGTGGTGAGCTGGGAGCAGCGGCTCAGGCCAGGCAGGATGGCACTGAGTTGGGAGTAGTGGATCTGACAGCCCTCCGAGATGAGGGTCTTAAGAGTAATTGCTGCCTCTCTCGAGACCCTCGTGTTGGCAGAAACTTTCTCCAGCAGAGCTCCGAGGGGTTCAAGACTGATACAGAACTGCAGCATGTAGCTGAGATTCAGATGCTTTGGGTAAGCGAGGCTTGGGTACTGGTAGAGACACTTCAAGTCCTCTTCCAATAGGTAGCCGCAAGTTAATTCCAAGTTCTCCAAGGGGTTCTAGAGGCACCTGTGGAGATCAAGAAGTTAGTTCTGGGCAATGGTACCAGTTAGATGAAGGTAGTGGGGAATGAACTCAAGGAAAATACCTGCTTCAACCAAACACAAGTTTGTTCCCACCATCTGATGATGGTCCTCATGCAAGTTGCTGCATGTTGAGGACCCTGATCATTCAGGGGCTGTCCCATTTTAGCCTCAGCCCTTTCACCATTTCTTGTGTGATTGGGTCAAGGCCACAAAATCTCTAAAGCCTTTTATCTTCATCTTTTAGCAGAAAACCTCATCTCTGGGCCACAGGTACCCGGTGGGAGATGTGCACAAAGAACTCAACTCAGCAAGGTCTAGGGACATTAGCTGGGGCTACCTGCCGGCAGGGGCTCCCTGGCCTGCCTGCATCTGCAAACCAACTGTCACTTTTTACCACTCTCACTCCTACTCCTTCACCCTCCATCCCAGAAGCATGCATGTCCCATGTCAATTGACTTTCCTGGAGTTCAAAACAACCTTCTACAGACAGGGAATCAGAGACAGGATCATTCATGATCACTAAGCTGGTGAGGACAGAGCTTCTACTGTGAAATGCACAAGTTTGATGCACTGTCCCTCCTTTCATACCCTCCTTTGTTACCTCTTTTACATCATATCAACTTGAAACACACTTTGTAACAAGAAATTCACACGTGCACATGCAGTAGAGACAAAACGCCCACTAAGTACCTTGTACATGATGTCCCTCTCTAGCCTCTACCCTAGGTGACCCCTCTGCCTTTATTGAAGTGATCCTGTGATAGCCACTCCAGGACATGGAGCACTGAACGGGACAATGTGTTGACATTCTGGTGTTCCCTGCACTGTGCCGTCGCCACTGGCTGGCACACAGTACACGTCTTCTAGTGTTTACTGTAACAAAAAAAAAAGGCTGCGCTGTGGTCTGCAGAGAAAGGGCACGATCCTTTCTCACCTGATCAGCTGTCCCAGGTGCCCTCTGTGGAAGGTGACCATATTCATTTTAAGCAGCTGGAGGTGTTTCAGCCTGAGGAACATAGAGCTGATTTTGGCGACTGAGCATTCCTCGCGGTAATTGACGTGTAAGGATGGCACCTGGAGAAAAATGAGTTTGCGAAGATTCTTCATCTCCTTCAGGTAACAATGAAGCTTTCTTATCAGATGTGGCCAGGACACATAGCAAATTTCCAGCTCCTGAATACTATTCAGGTGGATTATTTTCAATGATCTTCTGAGATATTCAATCGACGTTAGATAATTCACCAACTTACTACAGCACAGGTGTACTAAACCTCTCCTTTGGTAAACCCACCGGAAGAGGTATCTCAGGCATTCATCCTGGGGTATTTCCTTGAGGCAGATGTCTATGAACACCTTCAAGGGCTGGTGCTCTCCCATCCTTGGACAGTCCTCTGCTGTCTGCCTCTTACTCATGGCCTCTGGGGAGGAGGACAGGGCCCTGGATTCAGACCATATGGCCCAGAAATTCTCATCAACATCCCGCAAATCCAGCACTTGAAGTTTCCACCTCCTGTGGGTAAAGTAAGGCAGAGGCTCAGAACTTTGAAGGACAAATCCCTGACCTTTGCTTTCATTCTCATCCAATAAATCAGCTGCTCCTGTCCTCGCTGCTCCCTGTTCTCTCTGAGTTTTCTTGGTCCCTTTTCTCTTTCAATTCTGACTGGTCCCCACTTCTATTCCATTTACCTTCCACTGGGAATAGGCAAGTTTCTGTTCCCACAGTGGACCCTACATTGTGGGCAGTTCTTTCCCTGAGGATCTGGGCAATGGCCAAGGCATGCCTGAGCTTCGTCACCAGCACCACCAGAAGACACTGGGCCATCCTTGGGATACTTCTTTGCCTGACCCTGCTGTTCTTTCCCTGGACACCTGAGCCCCATCTACCAGCCTTCCTGGGTCACCTCACCTGGGGCGATCCTTCTGTGTAAGCAGCATGTGAAGCCCTTCCAGCAATGCTTTTAAGGTCTCCAGATGAAGCGTCTTCATCAGCGATCCCAGAGGGAGGCGGGTGAAGGGCCAGGCCTGCACCATCACTGTCAGAGTCTGGAAGTGTCTCCTGCTGAAGGCCTCCAGGAAGAGTGGGAGGTAGAGCTCCCTGGGCAGCTCCTCCAGGGCAGAGATGGCCAAGGGCTTGTCTCTCAGCAGACTCTGCCCCGCCAGCTCCAGGAGTCTGGGTGGGGCCTGGATGCTCATCCTGATGAATCTGTAAGGAAAAACTCTAGAAGACAAATCCAGAGAAAAGGCATCACTTTCAGGCCAAACACAATCACCTCATCTTCTCCTAAGGCCAATAGCATTGCTCTGGTAGAGGTAGAAAAATTACCACTTTACCCCAATTCCACTCTGCACTTGGTGGCCACAAATCTATATTTCTGCTTCTGCTGGTACCAGGAAGAATGTCTTCCAAACACCAAGGAGGGAGGGGTCAAAGAGACCACTGGCCCATTAATTTTCATCCATGGCTCCACTGAATCCCAGTACCACTGGAAAGTGTCACTGAGGATCCTGAAAGCCAAGCTCTACCTCTTTGAGGAAAATTTTCTTGTCACTTACCGCCCTAAAGCAATGAGAATGAGAGTGTCCTGTGGCCCCAGACAGCCTCCATTCTCAGTTTTCACCATGAACATGCTGGGGGAACACTAAAGGGACTCCCTAAAGTCAATGCCATTATTTTTTATTTTGAAAAATTTCAACCAGAAACTGACCGGGTGCTGTGGCTCATGTCTGTAATCCCAGCACTGTGGGAGGCCAAAACAGGCAGATCACTTGAGGTTAGGAGTTCGAGAACAGCCTGGCTTACGTAATGAACTCTGTCTCTACTAAATATAAAAAAATTAAAAATCATTTGACTCCAAAAGGCAGAGGTTGCAGTGAGCCGAGATCCCACCACTGCACTCCAGTCTGGACAAAAGAGTTAGACTCTGTCTCAAATAATAATAATAATAATAATAATAATAATAATAATTAATTAATTAAAATGTTAGCCAGGTGTGGTGGTGCAGTCCTATAATCCTAGCTACTCTGGAGGCAGAGGAAGAAGAATCACTTGAATCCCGGAGGCAGTGTTTTCAGTGAGCTGAACTCAACACCCTGCCCTTCAGCCTGGGTGACAGAGTGAGACTCCATCTCAGAACAAGAGAAAAGAATTAACCAGAAACTAAAAGCGACGTGATGGTATTCTAGAGCATTTGGAAGGTAGGGATAGAAATACTAACTCTAGATGAGGCACAGTGGCTCACTCCTGTAATCCCAGCACTTTGGGAGTCCAAGGTGTGTGTTTTTATTTTGAAAAACTGTAAGAGAAATTATAAAAGCAGTGTTGCAGTAGTCTAGAGCACTTGGAAGGTAGAAATGGAAACACTAAGTCTGAGGAGAAGGATCCAATACACATCCCTTCCACATACTCACAATCACACACTTAGGGACAGAGTCTAAGGGAAGAGATAAATCCCAGGTTCGGAACAAGTCTCTTGAGAATGGTGTACGGGAGATCTAAGATTTCTGTAAAATGAAAGCCTGACTAATAAAATCACAATACCGCTAAGTGTGTGAACTATAGCTGACAGGCACAGAAACCAACAACTTCACATGTCAAGACATAAACATCCATCCAACTGTAAATTTTTAATATTTTTTTTTTTAAAAACTGCTTCAATAAGAATTTTGAAATGAGGAAAATGAAGCACAAATCAAAATTTGAGGGATGAAGTCAAAACTATATTTGGAGGAAAAATCAAAACCTACATCTGTTTAATCTGAAAAAACAGACAGGAAATTCTCTGTGCCATTTTGGGCTGTGTGTCACCATCCCTGACTGGCTGGCTGCAGATTAGACGGGCATGTTCCTAAGAAGGTGGTGACTTACCAGATCTGGACTCAGTTTGCAGGGTGCTGGGACCTCTCAGAGAACCAAGCAGTAGCTCCAGGCACCAGGGCTTTGGGTCTGTCCTGTGCAAACTCAGGAGCTTTTGTTGATGTTTCTAACCACACCCTCCCCTTCTCAATCACCAGCTTCCAATCAGAAAGTGATACCTGATTAGATCCTGAAGTTCCACCCAGTTAATCCTGATTGAGTTTCACACTTTCTTCTGATTCATTGATTAAATTAGATGTGCATTTATGAAAGTGAAAGAATAAATAACAGGGTGAAAGTCCAAAAGTCATTAATTCATTTATTCCCCAAACACTGATGAAGTTTGACTAACATGTGACCTTCATAGTGACATGGAAGGTTTAATCTGTTCCTGGCATTAGAAAGAAAAAACAAAACCTGATGATATCTTTATGGGAGAATATTTGGCCACATTGAAATTATCCAAACGTTTCAGAGCTAAGACAGCTTTAAAAAGACGGTGATGTCAACCCTAAGAAAACAGAATACAAAGCTCTGTTATCCAACAGTTACCTGGGTTTTATGCTTCCTAACGGGGCAGGTCATATGTGGGTTCAGGTTGAAGAGGGGAACCACTGAGGGTGTTATTGATCACAAGACTAAGGTCAAGGCTTCACTGCAGGAAATCAGGACAGAATGACAAAGTGAGGTGGGGGCTGGGCAGGATGGGACCGGGTGTTCTAGTAGAACCCTGGGAAGGAACCAAGACAGCATAAAACATGGTGGGTATTTTGTGGGCATCTCCACAGAAGGATTGAAAGACTCTGTCTGGATTGAGTTTAAAAATTAAAAAGGGAATAGTTACAGAAGAGACAGTGCAGACTCTTCAAACACAACATTGTCTTTGAGGGCAGAGAAGGCAGAAACAGTCTTGGCCCCTACTAGAAGGGAAAGCGTGTTTACTCCCAAAAATGATGGGCTCGCCTCAGAAAATCAGCCTGGGAAGATGGAATCTGAGAATCTGAGCTGGGGCAGATGCCAGAGAGAAGCAGTGTGGCCAGACCTGGGAAGGGAGACTTTCCCAACCTGGAAGCCATCGAAGGTGGGAGCTGTGGGTTTTGCAGGATGTGGGAGAAAGTGAACAAGGGTCCAAGTCTCTGTCATGGTGCTATGGTCTGGAAACCTTTCTTTTAGACTCAGGGATCTTCCCACAGTGGGACATTTCCCAGCAACCCTCACCCACAGGTGTTTCCCAGGGCCCCTCATCCTCATCAATACCCTCGTGCCATTCCCCAGCATATTTTGATAATTAATGTTCTGCCATCCTTAAAGTCCTCCCTTGTCCCTGATATTGAACAGAGAGATTCTGATTAAAGTGATACCATTAGGTATACAAAGAAAACTCAGGCCATGTGTGGTGGCTCATATCTCTAATTTCAGCACTTTGGGAGGCCAAGGCAGATAGATTACTTGAGCGCAGGAGTTTGAGACCTGCCTGGGCAACATGGAAAATTCTGTCTATAAAAACTATATACGAAAAATTAGCCAGGCATGGTGGTGTGCACCTGTAGTCCCAGCTGCCCAAGAAGTTTAGATGCGAGGATCACCTGAGCCCAGGAGGTTGAGACTGCAGTGAGCCATCATTGTGCCACTGCACTCCAGCCTGCTCAACAGAATGAAACCTTGCCTCAAAAAAAAGGAAGGAAAGAAGGAAGGAAGGGAGGGAGGGAGGGAGGGAGGGGAGAGAAAAAGACAGAAGGAAACAGAAAGAAAGGTGGAAAGAAAGAAAAAGAAAGAAGAAAGAAAGTAAGAAAAAGAAAGAAAGAAAGAAAAAGAAGGAAAGAAGGAAGGAAAGAAAAAGAAAGAAAGAAGAAAGAAAGAAAGAAAGAAAGAAAGAAAGAAAGAAAGAAAGAAAGAAAGAAAAAGAGCGAGCCTTCTTGTCTTTAAGAGCAGCGCATATATACTGTTATATTGGGTGCACACCTAAAATACATTTCCCCCACAAAACCTGGAAGCTCTATTTCATGTTGAAATATCTGCTAAGTTCACGGATGGCTCCCATCCTAAGAGGGATCACACAGTGATTCTTCCGATGTTTTAGGGCACAAAGTAGCAAGAACCTCCCCTGCCTCCAGAAAGTCCTCCAGGCCTTTCTCTCCCATTCTATATGAAAACCAAACAGCTCTGAGATGCCACTGGCCTCCAAAACTGGAGTACTTTGAAGGGTGTTCTCTATCTTGAAATGTTTCTGTAAATGTTCTTTCTCCACATTTCTGACCTCACTGTCAATGCCCTGCTATGTGTGCAATTGAGTTAAACTGAAATGTGTTCAGTGGGGCTTCTACTTTGCCTGCCCTCACTTTGTGAGCCTGAGGCTGAGGTTGAGCTCAGCACCAAGGGTGATCGTGAGTGTCTCTGGTGACTGAGCATCCACGAGGCACAGCAGGGGCTGGTATCATTCATCCAAGATCTCAGCTCTCCCTCACAAATAATCTAAAGCATGTTGGTGACCCTGAGATTTGGCTAGCAAGAGGAATCTGCCCATGTTCAGACAACAAATGATTGGCAGACCCCTCAGGTGAGAGGCTCAGAGGATCCCCTAAGCAGTTCAACAACCTAAATGTTGGAAAAAACTGGCTGACAGACTTTCCATTCTTTCCCAATTCAGAAGGTCCAGCAAGTAGTGGTTGGTCTCAGGAAGATGGAAAATCACAAACAACAGTTAAAAAAAGAAACTAAGCAAAGGAACACTGGCAAGACACTGTGCCAGTGCCCCCCCCTTTCACCAAGAAGGAAGGCCTCCCACTCCTGAGCCCACTGCGCCCAAGCTTCCACAAGGCCTACATACCCCTAGGCTGCCCAGAGTAGAGAAGAAAGGGTGCAAGACCTCAGGATGCAAGACCCTCCCTTGGCTGCCCGTATGAGGCCTAGAACTGGGATACAAATGTCCCTGAGAGAGCAACAGTATACTGGAGTAGACGAGGATGGGCTTATGGTGGAAAGACGTGCCTTTGTGTACCAACCCTTCACCTCTGCCCATCTCCTCCATTGGAAAACAATACCCCATCCTATACCGAAAAGCCTCAAGCTATAATTTATTTGCTCCAAACTGTTATCCAGACCCACAACCCCACCTGGGCTGATTGCCACCAGGTGCTCATGCACCTCTTTAACACAGATGAAAGGTGGAGAGTGCTCCAAGTGGCAACTAAGTGGCTGGAAGAACATGTTCCAGCTGATTACAAAATCCCCGAGGGTATGTGAGGATCCAACTAGCAGGAACAGACCCCCAGTGGGACCCAAATGAAAGACAGGGTATGCAAAGCCTAAACCAGTACAGGGAAGTCCTTCTGGAAGGATTACAGGCGTGAGCTGCCTCACCCGGCCTTGAATGAGTGAATTCTTGACTTCTACCCTATCCCTAACACTGTCAATTTCCTGATTCATGCAATTAATATGGATATCTGATATGAATGGATATCTGATTCAATCCATTAATCTGGGGAGAGCCAAAAACCCAATCAGGATTAACTGGGTGGAGCTTCAGAAATGCAATCAGATATCACTTTTTGATTGGAAGCTAGTGATCCGCCTGCCTTAGTCTCCCAAAGTGCTAGGATTGCAGGCATGAGCCACTGCACCTGGCCGGTATTTTCTGTTTTGTACAAGATGTTCCAGAAAGAAAGGCAAATATGGAAAGTTGTCTAATTCATTTCATAAGAGAGCAGTAACCCATATTTTAAAAATGGCTAAGGATATTAGAAGGAAAGTAAATTTAAACTTATTTGGCAAAAGTTTTTTTTCTTTTTTCTTTCTTTTTTTTTTTTTTTGAGACAGAGACTCACTCTGTCATGCAGGCTGGAGTGCAGTGGCACAATCTCACCTCACTGCAACCTCTTACTCCCAGATTCGAGCAATTCTCCTGCCTCAGCCTCTCTAGTAGCTGGGATTAGAGCCACATGCCACCACATCCAGCTAATTTATGTAGTTTTAGAAGAGGCAGAATTTCTCTGTGTTGGCTAGAACTCCTGACCTCAGGTGATCCACTTGCCTCGGCCTCCCAAAGTGCTGGGATTACAGGCATGAGCCACCACGGTCAGCCAGAAAAAAGTACTTAATAAATTATCAGTTAACTAAATGCAACACTGCATTAGAAAGTGATAGACAGGCCAGGCTCCGTGGCTCACGCCTGCAATCCCAGCACTTTGAGAGGCCGAGGCAGGTGGATCACCTCAGGTCTGGAGTTCGAGACCAGCCTGACCAACATGGAGAAACCCCATCCCTACTAAAAATACAAAATTAGCCAGGTGTGGTGGCGCATGCCTGTAATCCCAGCAACTCAGGAGGCTGAGGCTGGAGATTTGCTTGAACCAAGAAGGTGGAAGTTGCAGTGAGTCGAGATCATGCCATTGCACTTCAGCTTGTGCAAAAAGAGTGAAACTCCACCTTAAAAAGAAAAAAAAAAGAAAAAAAGAAAGCAATATAGTGATATATAATGGCCATTCCAGGAATGCCAGCCAATCACAGGAAAATCTAAGTGTAATTCAGCATACTGACAAACTAAAGGGGGAAAAGCAAGGTTCCTACAAAATGCAGAAAAGAATTGCAGAAAAATCAAATTAAATTTATCATAACATAACTGAACAGCTTAATGAGTTGACATTCTAGCATCCCATTCCCTGTGACATCCCCAGTGGATGGCACACAGTAGATGTCCACTAACGTTTACTGTGAAAAAGAACAAAACTATGTGTTATGGTCTGCAGAGAAAGCCCACCATCGTTTCCTACCTGAGCAGGTGCTCCAGGTGCTCTTTGATATTACTGACCTTTCTTATATAATGCATCTGGGGGTAGTACAGGCACAGGAATGGCCAATCCAAGTCAGGAATGAACTGCCATTGGCCGCTCACGTATAATTCAGGCTCATAACCGAAGGCTAAAAAGTTTGCGAAGATTGCTCATCTGGCTCAGGTAAGGGGCAAACTTTCCCGTTTTATTGAGAGAGCACTTTTTCCAGACTTCCAACTCCTGGATACTGTCTGGGTATATCCTTTCCAATAGATTTCTGAAACTTGAAGTGGGCATTGAGTAATTCTGCACCTTACTACAACACAGGTGCACTAGGCCTCTTCTGTAGTGGATCCACCTTCAGAGGTAGCTCAGGCATTCATCCAGTGTACTTTCCTTCAGGCAGAGGTCTATGAACACCTTCAAGGGCTGGCACTCTCCCATCCTTGGACAGTCCTCCACTGTCTGCCTCTTACTCATGGCCTCTGGGGAGCAGGGGAGGACCCTGACTCCAGACCATATGGTCCAGAAATTCTCATCAACATCCCTCAAATCCAGCACTTGAAGTTTCCACCTCCTGTGAGTAACATAAGGGAAAAGCTCAGAATGTAGGCGAGGACCGACCCTTGACCTGAACTTTCACTCCACATCCAGGACATGAGTCAGCTGCTCCTGTCCCAGTGCTCCTCCTTCTGTCTTTTCTCCATCCTGTTCCCCCTTGGATTCTGCATGGTACCCACTTCTAGTACCTTTACCTTCCACTGGGAGGAAGCAGGTTCCTGTTTCCTCAGTGGACTCTGTATGGTGAGCAGTCCTTTTCCAGAGGATCTGGGCAATGGCCAAGGCCTCTCATGGGTACCATCAGAAGCCTCTGAGCCACCCTAGCTCCCACACACTGCCACTCCTCCTGAGCCAGCTGTCCCTTCCCTGGATGCCTGGACCCTTCCCACCAGGCCACCTGAGTCACCTCAACTGGGGCAAACCTTCTGGGACACTAGTGTATCAAGTCCCTTCAGCACAGCTTGCAAGGTCTCCAGATGAGTTGTCTTCATCAGGGATCCCAGAGGGAGGTGAAGGGAGGACCAGGCCTGCACCATCAGCTTCAGGGCCTCACAACATCTCATGCTGAAGGCCTCCATGAACATCAGAGGGGAGACCTCCCTGGGCAGCTAGTCCAGGGTGAAGATAGTCAAGAACTGCTTCCTCATCAGGCTCTGCCCTGCCAGCTCCAGGAGTCTGGATGGGGTCTGGAGGCTCATTCTGACAAATCTACAAGGAAAAACTCTACAGCACAATCCAGCAAAAAGGCAAGTTCCTCCGACCAATCCCCTGCAACCCCCAATTCTCCCAGGGCCCAAGTCATTTCTCTAGCATGTGTGAAAGAGCCCTCAGTTTACTCCAGTTCCTTTCTGCAATAAGTGGCCACAGAGACATAGTTCTACCCTTCTGGTACCATGAAGAATGTGTCCCAACTTCTAAAGAGCAGGCAAGATCCCTCGTAGTCCATGAATTATTAGCCACTGATCCACTAAACTCATAGCACTGGCAAATGTTACCGAGGATCTCTGAAGCTCAGATCTCGTACCCAGCTAATCTTTTATTTTTTGACTTTTTGTAAAGACAGTGGGTTTCACTATGTTGTCCAGGCTGGTCTTGAACTCCTAGACTCAAACAATCCACCCACTTTGGCCTCCCAAAGTGCTGGGATTGCAGGCATGAGCCTCTGCCTGGTGTCATTATTGAAAATTTCAGCAAGAAGCTTTGAAAGCTATGTGACAGTGTTATGCATCATTGGCAAGACACAGATGTTTCCAATACACACCTCTCACACATATTCAAAATGAACCACTTTGGCTGTGTGCAGTGACTCACACCTGTAATCCCAGCCCTCTGGGAGGCAGAGGCAGGTGGATTATCTGAGGTCAGGAGTTTGAGACCAGCCTGGCCAACATGGTAAAACCCTACCTCTACCAAAATTAGAAAAATTAGCCAGGTGCGGTGGTCTGCGCCTATAGTCCAAGCTACTAGGGAGGCTGAGGCAGGAGGATCACTTGAACCCAGGAGGCAGAGGTTGCAGTGAGCTGACAATACACCACTGCACTCCAGCCTGTGAAATAGGCTAGATTCAAAAAAAAAAAAAAAAAAAAGAAAAGAAAAGAGAGAGAGAGAGAGAGAGAGAGAACTACATTTGATTCGACTTCTTAAACTCTACCCAGTTAATCCTGATTGGATTTTTGGCTTTCTTCCAGATTAACTGATTGAATTAGATATTCATCCATGAAAGTGAAAGATTTAGGGATAGGGTGAAAGTCCAGGACTCATTCACTGATTCCCTCCACAAACATGGAGGTTTACTAATATGTGTCCTTCATAGTCCTGAGTGTGAGATAGGGAAGTGTTGAATCTCTTCCTGATATTAGACAGAAAGAAAGAAAACTTGAAAGTATCTTTGTTGAGGGATCCTTGGCCACATCAAATTTATCAAAATATTTCAGAGTTAAAACAGTTTTCAAAGACGGAGTTGACAGTCCCCAATAACACACAATAGAAATCTTCATGTATCCAGTGATCACCTGGGTGGTATAATCTAATTTTTTTTGGTGTGGGTGAAGCTGAGTCTCACTTTGTCGCCCAGGCTGGAGTGCAGCGGCTCCATCTCAGCTCACTGTAACTTCCGCCTCTGAGATTCAAGCAATTCTCATGCTTCAGCCTTCCACGTAGCTGGGATTACAGGCATGCACCCTCACACCCATGTCTCCATTCGGGAGGAAGAATTACAGTGAGGATGTGATTGGTTTAAAATTAAGGTCAAAGATTCTCTTTGGTTAAGGTTTTTTGTTTGTTTGTTTTCGTTTTTGTTTTTAGCAGGGTCTTACTCTGTTGCCCAGGCTGGAGTACAGCAGTGGTGTGAGCATGGCTCACTGCAGCCTCAATCTTCTGGGCTCAAGTGATTCTCCCATGTCAGCAAACCAAATAGCTGGGAATACAGATGCATGCTACCATGCCTGGCAAATTAAAAGATATATATATTTTGTAGAGGCTGACCACCATTGGCTCACGGCCGTCATTCCAGCACTTTCGGGGGCCTAGGCAGGAGGATCACTTGATGTCAGGAGTTTGAGACCAACCTGGCCAGCATGGTGAAACCCCACCACTACTAAAAATACAAAAATTAAGCAGACATGGTGGCAGAGGGATGTAATACCAGCTACTCAGGAAGCTGAGACATGAAAATTGTTTGAGCCTGGGAGGAAGAGGTTGCAGTGAGTTGAGCTCTTGCCACTGCACTCCAGCCTTGGCAACAGGGTGAGACTCCATCCCTGCTTCAAAAAAAGAATGTTTTGTAGAGCTGCATTTTTGCCATGTTGCCCAGGTTGGTCTCAAACCCCTGGGCTCAAATGATCCTCCCGCTTTGGCCTCCCAAGGTGTTGAGGTTATGGGCATGAGTCATTGCTCCCATCAAGAATTTTGAAATGACATAAACCAAAGCACAATCCAATTTTTTGAAATAAAGACAAAACTGCATATAGAGGAAAAAATTCAAATCTTCAAATTGTTCATATATATATATATAAAAGACAGATATAGCTCGGTGCCATCATAGGCTGCATTGCCCCCGTCCCAGACCGGCTGACTATAGGTCAGATGGGAGTGTCCTTCCAGAAATGAGTGACTTACTAGATCTGGACTGAGTTTGCAGAGTGCTTAGACCTCAGGAAGAACCAAGCAGGAACTCCAGACTTGAAGACTTTGGGTCTCTCCTGTGGGCCTTCAGAAACTTTTATCGATCTTTCTAATCACAACTCCCACCCACACCCCTCCATCTATCCAGTGCTTGCTTCCAATCAAAAAGTGCTATCTGATTGCATTTCTGAAGCTCCACCCAGTTAATCTTGATTGGGTTTTTGGCTGTCCCCAGATTACTGGATTGAATCAGATATCCATTCATATCAGCTATCCATATTAAGTTCATGAATCAAGAAATTGACAGTGTTAGGAATAGGGTGGAAATCAAGAATTCACTCATTAAAGGCCGGGTGAGGTGGCTCACACCTGTAATCCCTGCACTTTGAGAGTCCAAGTTGGCTGGATCACCTGAGGTCAGGCGATCAAGACCTGCAAGGCCAACATGATGAAACCCCAGCTCTACAAAAACACAAAAATTAGCCTGGCATGATGGCAGGTGCCTGTAATCCAGCTACTCAGGAGGCTGAGGTGGGAGAATCGCTTGAATCCAGGGGGCAATGGTTGCAGTGAGCCAAGATTGCACCATTGCACACCGTTCTGGGTGACAGAGGTAGACTTTGTCACAAAAAAAAAAAAAAAAAAAAAAAAAAAGAATTCATTCATTCATGAACTCCGCAAACACTGATGGAATTTTACTGATATATGACCTATATAGTCCTGAGTTTGAGGCAGGGAAGGGTTTGATCTGTTCTGGATAGTAGACAGAAAAATAAAACCTGAAAGTAGTGTTGGGAGATCTTTGGCCACATCAAAATTATAAAATTGTTTTATAGTTAAAACAGCTTTATAGAAACAAAGAAGTCATCCCTACAAAATCAGAAAAAAAACTCCATGTATCGAATCGTCTTGTGGGTTTTATATCACCTAAGGTAGCAATTTATTTGCTCATGCTGGTGGAAGAGAGGTGCCACTGAGGGCTTGAGTGGTCTCAGGGCTTAGGTTAAGGCTTGTCTGGAAGAAATTGAAACCGTATTTCTAAACTTTATAAATTTAATCGGTGAAAAAGAGAGGGGGAGGAACAAAAACAAACCAAGCTTGAAACGCATTCAGCATTCACCAGGAGGTCAGCTTGCCCTCTGACCTGCTTCCTCATGGTTGCTGGCAGCCTACTGTCCCAAAATCGTGTAGAACTTAGACTACAATTCCCCTTAACTACGCTGCAGACAACAATTTAAGCATTGTGAAACATTAAGTTTTTCATTTGAGATATTCTTTCAGGTTCTGCATGTCAGTGAAACTACTGATGCCAGCTGATCTGAAGGGCCCTGCAAGGCATCAACTCACCAAAGAATGCCGTTCTGACATCGTGATAACTTCATACCTCTTATTGCCATCAAACTACACCAACTTTCCAGCCCCTTGCTATCCAGGATCCACTGGAAACCCTCAGTACTCCTTGGGGAGATGAATTTGAGGATCTCCTCCCAGCTTCTCATTCAGCCACCCTGTGATCATTAAACTTTCTGCTGCAAACCCTGCTGTCTCACAATATTGCTAAGCTACTGTGCAGCCGGCATAGGAACCTGATGGTCCTGTAACAAATTTATGTCAAAATTACAAAGGGAAGTGAAGGTGGAGGCTGGTCAGGGTTGAGCTGGGTGTTTTAATGGAATCCTGGGAGTGAACAAAGACTTGGTAAATGTGTTGGGGGTTATTGAGAGGGTGGAGGAGGAATCTTTCCAACACTGCACTGAGGCTCCCTTGGTTTTCATACTTGTGACCAAGAATGAGTCTTTCAAAAAAATTTATGTAATTCTCCTCATTTTTCCTTTCAAAACCTTTGTCTTCCTTTACCTCCCCGAATAATCTCACATCTATTCCCATGGCTTTGCTCATTTCATAATAAAAATCCTTTTTTTTTTCCTGTGGAGTCTCTTTCTCTGTTAAGTAGACCATATATTTTGTTGCCACACAAGATGAGTAACCTGGTTTTATGGAGAGAAAGGGACAAAAGAATCCCAATCCTCATCAGCTAGGGGCGATATGAAGGTCAGGATTATTCTTTGTCATATCTGCACCTGCATATTGCCAGTGAAAACCTGCAGGTCACATTAGGTAGACTTCCAAATTGATCATCTGTGGAAGGTCTTATGATTGGCTTACATCCTGTCCCTGAGTAAAGAATCTGATCTTGACTTCATGAGTGCCTGAGACTCTTCAAGTACTGATGAAGGCTTCACCCAGTGACAGTGAGAAGGACACTGATTTGATTCTGATCGTGAAGTTTTGCTGGTTGTCTTGCAAGGAAAATATTTTTGCCTGTCATGTTGTCATCTAAAGTCAATGATTGTAACCTCTGTATTGTCCCTTCCAATGGAAAAAACAAAAACAAAAAAGCTCAACTCTATTAGAGCCTTGCCAGGATAAAACAAAAGAAAATTAAAAAAAAAAAACAACTGATAGGAGGAGTCCCATTCCCTTCTTTCAACCTTTCTTATAAAAGCATTCCAACTTGTAACAGACTTTGGAAAACGCTCATTTTGTCAGTGTGTGTCTTCCAGGTCGATCCTGACATTTAGCTTCCAATGAAGCTTTATTTAATTATTTCTGCCTCAACTGCCTTAACGTCTATTGACAACAGGTTGCACGGTAATGGTTGGAATTGGGGTGGGAGGAAAAAATATTTCTGTGTGTTTTATAAAGTAATCCTTGCATGCCATCTCCATTGAAGAAAGAATAGTTTCCTCTCCAAATATATCCTGAGTATTGATGCATCCAATAAATAAAACTATTATTTCATACAGTAGAGCTATAGATGCATTCTATTTGCCTCTAGAGTTTCCAAAGAACCAATGCCTAGTTTCAGTAAGTTCTCTGATTATATGGCAGAGGGTAACATGGTCATGTTCTGACTCTATGTCTATGTCGATATCTATAGCATTCCCATCTACATAATGCATGTCAAACCAAAGAGTTTGATTCTAGTGGGAGTCTGGAACACTATCTAGGTTAGACCCAGTTACACTAATGTTTTCTAGGCATAGAGATAAATTACCAGTAATGAAATCAATAATAGTCATAGGCCACCCATTTGCACCTATAGCTTCTTCTCAGTACCAAGTCATTTAATTATCAATATTAACCAACCTTCCAAAGGAAGGATAACAAACCTTATCATGAAGTTAGCATCCTCAATTGCTACCCAACTGTGTATGAGAGCAGGTTCTACTATTATCTGTGATCCTTCCCTTTCATCTAAATGACCCCATAGCCAGCAATTGCTTTGGTTAGTGAGAGTGGCTACATTTTGAACAGGAGACCTTAGAAAGTGTTTGGTTTGAGTGATGAAAGTACCTAACAATATAAAATACAGGTTTGAGAATTTTGTGTTAATACAAAACAAAACCAAGTCTCAGTCAATGGAAGAAGATCAAATGGAGTCTTGTTCCATTGTCTTGGAAAAGCTGTCTACCATGTGATGATGTCTGCTTCTAGGGAAGGCTTTTCCTCGGATATCTTTACGTTTCAGTCATCTGGTACAGTCCCATCCATTGCTGCTCATGCGCAGATTTCCCTTGGTGTCATTTCCAAAGGATGCAATCTCCAAATGCTAGGGCAGGAAGATCTAAGCATCACTGAAAGCCTTCACCTACTGGAAATAGTCTTTGAAATTCTGCATCAAGGTCTTGCAGTATTGATTCATATTGTTACTGAATGATGGGCTCACTCTCCTGAGTGCATAGAACCCAATACTATGACAACATCTTTGAGAAAAGAAAAAAAGATTCGGCCAGGTGTGGTGGCTGACGCCTATAATCCCAGCACTTTAGGAGACCGAGGCAGGCAGATCCCGATGTCAGGGGTTCAAGACCAACCTGGCCAAAATGGTGAAACCCCGCTTCTGCCAAAAATACAAAAATTAGCTGGGTGTGGTTGTGTGTGCCTGTAATCCCAGCTACTTAGGTGGCTGAGGCAGGAAAACTCCTTGAACCTGGGAGGCAGAGGTTGCAGTGAGCCAAGGTAGCACCACTGTACTCCAGCCTGGGCAACAGAGACTCTGTCTCAAAAATAAATAATAATAATCCAGTTTTCTTTGTCAGTTTAGCTAATTTTAGTTTAAAGATACCATTTGTTCACTCAACCTTTATAGAATACCAAGGATAATGAAGTTAATGCTAGTGTCATTGGGTCTGTAAAATTTTATGTGTGATAACCTGCCCAGTAAACTGAATTCTCATACCATTAGAGATTTCTCCAGAATTGCCCAGAAAGGAAACACATTTTATAATCACTTATTTGCTATGACTGCATCATAAGCCTTTCTAAAAAGGTAAGCTACAACTCATCCTGAAAATGGAAACACAATCACAAGAATTTTAGCCTTTTTACACGGCTCACTGTCATCATTGGTCCATGACAACCCCCTTTCTTGCAGCTATATATGTGTATGTCTACCTATTCATATCTATATCTATATCTATCTGTTTCCTTTTATTACCATTATTCACTTCCACTCACCTTTCCATATATTGCCACTCTACTCTTTGACCTAGCCTTGAATTTGCATGTGACCTTATATAATATAAGTATATGGAAAGTATATAGCATATATACTTGCATTTTTATGTGTATTTATTTTAATCCACATATATGCTATAGCGTAGGGTGCTAGAGAAGAGGGCCTCACAATTAATTGTCCAGTCCCAGACACTTTGGAGAGTGAATGGACATGCTGTTATAATTATTAGTAGTATTTTTTGGAGATGGAGTCTTGCTCTGTGGCCAGGCTGGTGTGCAAAGGTGCTATCTTGGCTCAATGCAACCTCCACCTCTCGGGTTCAACTGTTTCTCCTGCCTCAGCCTCCCAAGTACCTGAGATTACAGATGCCTACCACCACGCCCGGCTATTTTTTGTATTTTTAGTAGAAATGGAGTTTCTCTATGTTGGCCATGCTGGTCTCAAACTCCTGATCTCAGGCGTTCCACCTGCCTTGGCTTCCCAAAGTGCTGGAATTACAGGTGTGAGCCACCGTGCCCGGCCTCTCACGTGCCTTTTTAAGTTGATGGGAAAATGACACCCAGGATAATTTATGGCCATAGTGAGAATTATTGGAAATCTTTAAGACTGTTTTTCTTACAAAACCACAATGGTAGGATTAAACAGTCTGAATGGGATGCTAGCATGTAGAGCCTTCTAAACTCTCTTTCTCTCCTTTTTTGGGGAATTTGGGATCTGCCTACTGATTACAATTAATTGCACTTTTTTAACTGTTTGATTAAGATTTTTTTTTTTCAACAGTCTGACTCTGCTGCCCAGGCTGGAGTACAGCACTGGTGTGAGCATGGCTCACTGCAGCATCAATCTTCTGGATTCAAGGGATTCTCCCACCTCAGCCACCCAAGTAGCTGGGACTACAGATGCATGCCACCATGTGTAGGGAAAAGAAAGAGAGATCAGACTGTTACTGTGTCTATGTAGAAAAGGAAGACATAAGAAACTCCATTTTGACCTGTGCCCTGAAGAATTGCTTTGCCCTGAGATGCTATTAATCTGTAACTTTGCCCCAACCTTGAGCTCACAAAAACATGTGTTGTATGGAATCAAGGTTTAAGGGATCTAGGGCAGTGCAGGATGTGCCTTGTTAACAATATGTATACAGGCAATATGCTTGGTAAAATCATCGCCATTCTCCATTCTCGATAAACCAGGGGCACAATGCACTGTGGAAAGCCACAGGGACCTCTGCCCTGGAAAGCCGGGTATTGTCTAAGGTTTCTCCCCATGTGATAGCCTGAGATATGGCCTTGTGGGATGGGAGAGACCTGACCATCCCCCAGCCCAACTCCCGTGAAGGGTCTGTGCTGAGGAGTATTAGTAAAAGAGGAAGGCCTCTTGCAGTTGAGATAAGAGGAAGGCCTCTGTCTCCTGCCTGTCCCTGGGAATGGAATGTCTCGGTATAAAACCCAATTGTAGATTTGTTCTATTCTGAGATAGGAGACAAACTGTCCTGTGTTGGGAGGTGAGACATGTTGGCAGCAATGCTGCTCTGTTATTCTTTTCTCCACTGAGATGTTTGGGTGGAGAGAAGCATACATCTGGCCTACATGCACATCCAGGCAGAGTACCTTCCCTTGAACTCATTTGTGACACAGATTCCTTTGCTCATGTTTTATGCTGAGCGCCGGTCCCCTGGGCCCCCTGTTCTTTCTCCATACTTTGTCTCTGTGTCTTATTTCTTTTCACAGTCTGTCATCCCACCTGATGCGATATACCCACAGGTATGGAGAGACTGCTCCCCTTCAACCATGCCCATCTAATTTTTTAAAAAAGAGGCAGGGCATTGGTGGCTCACTGGTGTAATCCCAGCCCTTTGGGAGGCCAAAGCAGGTGGATCACTTGAGGTTAGGAGTTTGAGACCAGCCTGGCCAACATGGTGAACCGCCGTCTCTATCCAAAATATAAAAATGAGCTGCTCATGGTGGTGGGTGGCTATAATCCCAGCTACTCAGGAGGCTGAGGCATGAGAATCGCTTGAGCCTGGGAGGCAGAGGTTGGAGTGAGCTGAGATTGTGCCACTCCATTCCAGCCTGGGTAACGGAGTGAGACTCCATCCCGCCCCTCAAAACAAATGTTTTGTAGAGATAGGGTTTTGCCATGTTGCCCAGGTTGGTCTCGAACCCCTGCGCTCAAACGATCCTCCCACCTTGGCCTCCCAAAGTGTTGTAGTTACAGGCATGAGTCATTGCTCCCACCAAGAATTTTTTTTCTTTAAATTGCTGGTTTAATAAAGAGTTGTTTATTTTCAGGGAAAAGGTCCCAAACATCAAGCTGTTCACAAAAATAACCCACGGTATCAACTTTAGAAAACACATTTGAAGACTATAACACCAATTATGTTTCTGAGGATGCATTTGACATGCCAACTCTCATTCACAAAAATACATTGTTAGATTTTTGTTGAACTGCCCCACACAGCACACTAATATGGGGTGTAACACACATACTTGTAACTCCAAGCTGCTTTCAGGAGCTACTCAACTCAATGAGATTGCCTTTGCAGTTAGGGAAGCAACTACTGAACTTATGTATGAAAGAAAAGAACTGTATTCCCTGCATAACAAGAGATTATTTTGGAGACAGTTGATAAAAACCATACATCCTTTTTACTGTTAAGTCATAAAGAGGTGTCAAAATTAAAAGCAAAAATTACAGGGTAAGACTTAGGAAAACTACTAGGGGTGTCATGGGAAGTGAAAATGGGACTAGGCACAGGGCAATATGAATTAATGAATGTGGGAAGGACAAGGATGGGGAGAACAGTAAGCATGTGCTGAAGATACTAAGGGAGAGGATCTGGTGAAAAATTTGTTGTTAGACAAGCTCCTAGGTAAAGAAACAATGGGATAAGATTTCTCAACCCCACTATGTGCTTAAGAGTCATCCTGGCCATTGGTGCTGTCTCTGTTATCCTCTCCTTCCTCAGCATCTTTTTCATTATTCTTGATCAAATGAAGCTGGTTGTCCCCCTGATCTTCATTATCATCATCATCCAGTGGGTCCCCCTCCTCAGCAGAGTCTTCTGCACCCCCCTCAGACTCCATCTTTACATGAGTCTCATCTTTCTTCATGGAGCTACTGCTCTGCTCCTCTTCTGACTTAGCATTTTTCACCTCTACCTCTTGTTTGCTCTGTTCCTTTTCAATTTTTTCCAGGTTTTCCAGGAGAGAATCCACTTTCTGTTTTATCTGGGTCAACTCCTGCTTAATGGCCTGAAGGTCATCTCCTTTCAGCTTTCCAGACTTGGAAGATCCCCGCTTTCCACTCTTAGAATTGAAGCCACTTTTGCCCCTTCGTGAGGTGTTTCCTGATATGCGCTGGTGTTTCGAGGGCACTACAGCCAGAGCAATGGGAGGAGGAGGAGGTACACGTGCTGGGAAACTGTACATCCCATCATAATAATCCCGTTGAAAGCCATAGTCCAAGTCAAAAGAGGAGCCGTACATCTCCGCTGCGGATCGTTTCACACCTGCGTTTCCTCGGTTCACTTTTGGCTCTGCAGCCAGGTTAATAACTGCAACCTGGCTAGCAATCATTCTGCCATCCTCTCCTGCTACAGCAGCCCGGGCATTTTTCTCCTTATCATATTGAACGAAGGCAAAGCCCTTATGAACAGAGCAGCCCGCAATTTTGCCATACTTGGAAAAGATCGCCTCCACATCAGATTTCTTGACAACAAGAGTGTTGAGATTCCCAATGAACACACGGGAGTTCACGGAGTGAGGATCCATCTTGTTGGTAACGTTGCTGGCCATTGTGTTGGATGATAAGGTTTCTCAAAAAGCCAAAAACAGGAGGCGGGAGGGAGAAGAGATTCGATTCTAAGTCTCCTACTGCCGGGTTCTACGGGGAGAAGCTGACTGCGGCTCGAGGCCAGAAATGCAGCCAAAACAGCTCAGTCTTCGTCTCTTCACAAAATGGCTGCCAACAAGAATTCTGAAATGATGTAAAGAAAAGCACAACAACATTTTTGAAATCACGACAAAATTGCATTTAGAAAAAAAAATCAAAGCTTCAAAGTGTTCATATGAAAAAAAGAAAAAAAGACATGATATAGTTCTATGCCATCGTAGGCTGCACTGTCACCGTTCTAGACCGGCTGACTGTAGGTCACATGGGAGTGTCCTTACAGAAATTAGTGACTTACCAGATCTGGTTGTAGTTTAGAAGGTGCTCAGACCTCAGGAAGAGCCAAGCAGGAACTCCAGGCTTGAAGACTTTGAGTTTGTCCTGTGGGTCTTTAGAAGCTTTTATTGACCTTTCTAATCACAACTCCCACCCACGCCCCTCCACGTATCCGCTGCTAGCTTCCAATCAAAAAGCGATATCTGATTGCATTTCTGAAGCTCCACTCAGTTAATCCTGATTGGGTTTTTGACTGTCCGAAGACTAATGGATTGAACGAGATATCCATTCATATCACATATGCATAATCATTTCATGAATTAAGAAATTGACAGAGTTAGGGATAGACTGGAAGTCAAGAATTCATTCACTCAAGGCCAGGTGAGGTGGCTCACACTTGTAATCCCAGCACTTTGGGAGGCCAAGGTAGGTGGATCACCTGAGGTCAGGAGTTCAAGACCAGCCTGGCCCACATGGTGAAACCCTGTCTCTACAAAAATAGAAAAGTTAGCCAGGCACGATGGTGGCTGCCTGTAGTCCAGTTACTCATGCGGCTGAGGTGGGAGAATCCCTTGAACCCTGGAGGCTGAGTTTGCAGTGAGCCAAGATTACACCATTGCCCTCCTGACTGGGTGACAGAGGGAGATTTTGTCAAAAAAAATGCATTCATTCATGAAATCCACAAACACTGATGGAATTTTACTGCTATTTCGCCTTCAAGTCCTGATGTGAGGCAGGGAAGGGGTTGATCTGTTCCAGACATTAGACAGAAAAATAAAACCTGAAAGTAGTGTTGTGGGGAGATCTTTGGCCACATCAAAATTATAAAATTTATAAAAATATTTCTAGTTAAAATAGCTGTATAAACACAGAGGAGTCGTCCCTACAAAATAAGAATAAAGATCTCCATGTATGGAATGGTCTTGTGGGTTTTATATCACCTAAGGTAGCAGTTTCTTCACTCGTGCTGGTGGAAGAGAGGTGCCACTGAGGGCTTGAGTGGTCTCAGGGCTTAGGTTAAGTCTTCTCTGGAAGAAATTGAAATGATACCTGTAAACTTTATAAGTTTAATCAGTGAAGAAGGGAGGGGGAGAAACAAAAATAAACCAAGCTTGCAGCGCATTCAGCATTCACCATGAGGTCAGCTTGCTCTCTGACCTTCTTCCTCATGGTTGCTGGCAGCTTACTGTCCCCAAATCAAGTAGACCTTAGCTTACAGTTCCCCTTAACTACCCTGCAGACAACAATTTAAGCCTTGTAAAACATTAACTTTCTCATTTGAGATATTCTTTCAGGTTCTGCATGTCAGTGAAACTACTGATGCCAGCTGATCTGAAGGGCTCTGCAAGGCACCAACTCACCAAAGAATGCAGTTTTGACATCCTGATGACTTCATCCCTCTTACCTCTACACCAACTTTCCAGCCCCTTGCTATCCAGGATCCACTGGAAACCCTCAGTACTACTTGGGGAGATGAATTTGAGGATATCCTCCTAGCTTCTCATTTAGCCACCCTGTGATCATTAAACTGTCTGCTGCAAACACTGCTGTCTCAGAATATTGGTCAGCTACTGTGCAGCAGGCATAGGAACCTGATGGTCCTGTAATAAAATCATGTCAAAATTACAAAGAGAAGTGAGGGTAGAGGATGGGCATGGTTGAGCTGGGTGTTTTAATGGGATCCTGGGAGTTAACCAAGACTTGGTAAACATGTTGGGGGTTACTGAGGGGGTGGAGGTGGAATCTATCCAACATTTCACTGATGCCCCTTTACTTTTGATTCTTAGGACCAAGGTTGAGTCTTTCAAAACAATTTGTATAATCCTCCTTATTTTTCCTTTCAAAACCTTTGTCTTCCTTTTTCTCCCAAAATAATCTCACATCTATTCCCATTGCTTTCCTCATTTCAGGATAAACACATCTTTTTTTTTTTTTTTTCTGACAGTCTCCTTCTCTGTTAAGTTTACCATATATTTTGTTGCCACTGAAGATGAGTAACTTGGTTTTATGGACAGGAAGGGTGAAAAGGATCCCATTCCTCAACAGCTGGAGGTGATATGAAGGTCATTGTTATTCTTTGTCATATCTGCACCTGCATATTGCCAGTGAAAACCTGAAGGTCTCATTGGGGCAAGCTTAAAAATTAGCCACCTATGGAAGGTCTTAGCATTGGCTTACATCCTGTCCCTGAGTAAAGAATCTGATCATGAGTTCATGAGTACCTCAAACTCTACAAGTACTGATGAAGTCTTCACCTGCTGACAGTGAGAAGGACACTGATTTTATTCTGATCATGAAGTCATGCTGGTTGTCTTGCAAGGAAAATGTTTTAGCCTGTTATGTTGTCATCTAAAGCTAACGATTGTAACCTCTGTCTTGTACCTTCCAATGGGAAAAACAAAAACAAAAACTCAACTCTATTTGAGCCTTGCCAGGTCAATAAAACAAAAGAAAATTAAAAAAAAATTGATAGGAGGAGTCCCATTCCCTTCTTTTAACCTCTCTTACAAAAGCATTCCAACTTGTAACAGACTTTGGAAAACACTCACTTTGTCAGTGTGTGTCTTCCAGGTCGATTCTCACATTTAGCTTCCAATAAAGCTTTATTTAATTATTTCTACCTCAATGGCCTTAACTTCTATTGATACCAGGTTGCATGGTAATGGTTTGAATTGGGGTGGGAAGAAAAAGTATTTCTATGAGTTTTATAAAGTAATCCTTGCATGCCATCTGCATTGAAGAATGAATAGGTTCCTCTCCAAATATGTCCTGAGTATTGATGCATCCAATAAATAAAACTATTATGTATTTCACATAGTAGAGCTATAGACACATTCTATTTGCCTCTAGAGTTTCCAATGAACCAATGTCTAGTTTCAGTAAGTTCTCTGATTAAATGGCAGAGGGTAACATGGTCATGTTCTGATTCTATGTCTATGTCGATACCTATAGCACTCCAGTCTTCATAAGGTGTGTCAAACCAAAGAGTTTGATTCTAGTGGGAATCTGCGACACTACCTAGATTAGATCCAGTTTCACTAATGTTTTTTATGCATAGAGATAAAATGCCAGTAATGTAATCAATAATAGTCATAGGCCACCCATTTGCACCTATAGCTTCTTCTCAGTGCCAAGTCATGTAATTATAAATGTTAACCAACCTTCCAAAGGAAGGATAACAAACCTTATGATGAAGTTGGCATCCTCAGTTGCTACCCAACTGTTTATGAGAGCATGTTCTACTATTTAGTTGTGATCCTTCCCTTTCATGTAAATGACTCCATAGCCAGCAATTGCTTTGGTTAGTGAGAGTGGCTACATTTTGAACAGAAGACCTTAGAAAGTGTTTGGTTTGAGTGGAGAAAGTACCTAACAACATAAAATATAGGTTTGAGCATTTTGTTTTAATACAAAACAAAACCAAGTCTCAGTCAATGGAAGAAGATCAAATGGAGTCTTGTTCCATTGTCTTGGAAAACTGTCTACCATGTGATGATGTCTGCTTCTAAGGAAGGCTTTTCCTTGGTTATCCTTAGTTTTAAGTCATCTGGTACAGTCCCATCCAGTGCTGCTCATGGGCAGATTTCCCTTGGTATCATTTCTAAAGGATGCAATCTCCAAATTCTAGGGCATGAAGGTCTAAGCATCACTGAAAGCCTCCCTCACCTACTGGAAAGACTTTGAAATACTGCATCAAGGTCTTGCAGTATTGAATCATGTTGTTACTGAACGATGGGCTCACTCTCCTAAGTGCATAGAAGTCCTTTGAGAAAAGAAAAAAAGATTAGGCTGGGCAAGGTGGCTCAAGCCTATAATTCCAGCACTTCAGGAGGCTGAGGCAGGGAGATCACAAGGTCAGGGGTTCAAGACCAACCTGGTCAACATGGTGAAACCCCGTTTCTGCTAAAAATACAAAAATCAGCTGGGTGTGGTGGTGTGTGCCTGTAATCCCGGCTACTCAGGAGTCTGAGGCAGGAGAATCTCTTGAACCCGGGAGGCAGATGTTGCAGTGAGATGACATAGCACCACTGTACTCCCGCTTGGGCATCAGAGACTCTGTGTCAAAAAAAAGAAAAAGTAATCCAATCTTTTTTGTTAATTTAGCTAATTTAATTTTAAGATACCATTTGTTCACTCAACCTTTGTAGAATACCAATGATAATGAAGTTAATGGTAGTGCCATTAGATCTGTAAAATCTTATCTGTGTGATCGCCTGCCCAGTAAACTGAGTTCTCCTACCATTGGAAATTTCTCCAGAGGTTCGCCAGAAAGGAAACACATTTTATAATCATTTATTCACTATGACTATGGCATCAGCCTTTCTAAAAAGGTAAGCTACAACCAATCCTGAAAATGGACACACAATCACAAAAATTGTAGCCTTTTTACATGGCTCACTGTCATCACTGGTCCATGACATTCCCTTTTCTTGCCGCTATATGTGTGTATGTCTACCTATCCATAACTATATCTACACCTTTTTTTATTACCATGATTCACTTCCACTCCCCTTTCCATAGATAGCCACTCTACTCTTTGACCTAGCCTTGAATTTGCATGTGACCTCTTAGAATATAAATATATAGAAAGTATATAGAATATATACTTGAATTTTGTATGTGTATTTATATTAATCCACATATATGCTATAGTGTATGGTGCTACAGAAGAGGGCCTGACAAGTAATTGTCCAGTCCTAGATACTTTGGAGAGTGAATGGACATGTTCTTATAATTTTTTTTTTTTTTGGAGATGGAGTCTCACTCTCTCGCCAGGCTGGAGAGCAATAGTTCAATCATGGCTCACTGCAAACTCTGCCTCCTGGATTCAAGTGATTCTCCTGCCTCAACCTACCGAATACCTGGGATTACAGGTGTCCACCACCATGCCCAGCTATTTTTTGTATTTTTAGTAGAGAGATAGTTTCGCCATGTTGGTGAGGCTGGTCTCGAACTCCTGACCTCAGGTGATCCGCCCACCTTGGCCTCCCAAAGTGCTGGGATTACAGACGTGAGCCACCGTGCCTGGCCTTGTTATAATTAAGATTTTCAGAACAACAGTGGTGTATGAAGGCTTATAATCACCTTTACCATAGGCCTTGGTCTCTTACCTAAGTTTGTAACTAATATATTTTTCAAATATAATAACAATAAAAATATCCTTGCTTGCCCTATGTCAAATCCAGCTCGAAGTACTTAAATAGATTAATTTATAGCACTCTGTGAAGTCAATATTGCTATTATCCCATTTTATATGTGAATGAGCTAAGGCACAGAGAGGTTAAGTAAGTTGAGTAAGACCACACAGCCATTGGCCACTGAGCCAGTTTTTTTTCTTTTTTCTGAGACAGCATCTCATGCTGTCGCTCAGGCTGGAGTGCAGTGGCGCGATCTCAGCTCACTGCAAGCTCTGCCTCCCGGGTTCACTCCATTCTGCTGCCTCAGCCTCCCGAGTAGCTGGGGCTACAGGCACCTGCCACCATGCCCGGCTAATTTTTGTGTTTTTAGTAGAGACGGGGATTCACCGTGTTAGCCAGGATGGTACTGAGCCAGTTTTGAACCTAAATTAAGCAGTCTGGGTCTGCTGGATCTGGAGTCTTTACTATTAACCAAAATACCTACGTGCGTCCAAATCCTAAGGTGCTGAGGTTCTTACCTTGTTTCATATCTCAGTAGGAAGGGAGCTAATGTTTATCCATTACATCTGATGTTTAATGCAAGTTTTCAACATACAACATTTCAGTTTCCGAAATATGTTATGATAAATTTAATTTGATTTTTCTGCAATTCTTTTCTGCATTTTGTAGGAACCTTGCTTTTCCCCCTTTAGTTTGTCAGTATGCTGAATTACACTTAGATTTTCCTGTGATTGGCTGGCATTCCTGGAATGGCCATTATATATCACTATATTGCTTTCTTTTTTTCTTTTTTTTTTCTTTTTAAGGTGGAGTTTCACTCTTTTTGCACAAGCTGAAGTGCAATGGCATGATCTCGACTCACTGCAACTTCCACCTTCTTGGTTCAAGCAAATCTCCAGCCTCAGCCTCCTGAGTTGCTGGGATTACAGGCATGCGCCACCACACCTGGCTAATTTTGTATTTTTAGTAGGGATGGGGTTTCTCCATGTTGGTCAGGCTGGTCTCGAACTCCAGACCTGAGGTGATCCACCTGCCTCGGCCTCTCAAAGTGCTGGGATTGCAGGCGTGAGCCACGGAGCCTGGCCTGTCTATCACTTTCTAATGCAGTGTTGCATTTAGTTAACTGATAATTTATTAAGTACTTTTTTCTGGCTGACCGTGGTGGCTCATGCCTGTAATCCCAGCACTTTGGGAGGCCGAGGCAAGTGGATCACCTGAGGTCAGGAGTTCTAGCCAACACAGAGAAATTCTGCCTCTTCTAAAACTACATAAATTAGCTGGATGTGGTGGCATGTGGCTCTAATCCCAGCTACTAGAGAGGCTGAGGCAGGAGAATTGCTCGAATCTGGGAGTAAGAGGTTGCAGTGAGGTGAGATTGTGCCACTGCACTCCAGCCTGCATGACAGAGTGAGTCTCTGTCTCAAAAAAAAAAAAAAAGAAAGAAAAAAGAAAAAAAACTTTTGCCAAATAAGTTTAAATTTACTTTCCTTCTAATATCCTTAGCCATTTTTAAAATATGGGTTACTGCTCTCTTATGAAATGAATTAGACAACTTTCCATATTTGCCTTTCTTTCTGGAACATCTTGTACAAAACAGAAAATACCGGCCAGGTGCAGTGGCTCATGCCTGCAATCCTAGCACTTTGGGAGACTAAGGCAGGCGGATCACTAGCTTCCAATCAAAAAGTGATATCTGATTGCATTTCTGAAGCTCCACCCAGTTAATCCTGATTGGGTTTTTGGCTCTCCCCAGATTAATGGATTGAATCAGATATCCATTCATATCAGATATCCATATTAATTGCATGAATCAGGAAATTGACAGTGTTAGGGATAGGGTAGAAGTCAAGAATTCACTCATTCAAGGCCGGGTGAGGCAGCTCACGCCTGTAATCCTTCCAGAAGGACTTCCCTGTACTGGTTTAGGCTTTGCATACCCTGTCTTTCATTTGGGTCCCACTGGGGGTCTGTTCCTGCTAGTTGGATCCTCACATACCCTCGGGGATTTTGTAATCAGCTGGAACATGTTCTTCCAGCCACTTAGTTGCCACTTGGAGCACTCTCCACCTTTCATCTGTGTTAAAGAGGTGCATGAGCACCTGGTGGCAATCAGCCCAGGTGGGGTTGTGGGTCTGGATAACAGTTTGGAGCAAATAAATTATAGCTTGAGGCTTTTCGGTATAGGATGGGGTATTGTTTTCCAATGGAGGAGATGGGCAGAGGTGAAGGGTTGGTACACAAAGGCACGTCTTTCCACCATAAGCCCATCCTCGTCTACTCCAGTATACTGTTGCTCTCTCAGGGACATTTGTATCCCAGTTCTAGGCCTCATACGGGCAGCCAAGGGAGGGTCTTGCATCCTGAGGTCTTGCACCCTTTCTTCTCTACTCTGGGCAGCCTAGGGGTATGTAGGCCTTGTGGAAGCTTGGGCGCAGTGGGCTCAGGAGTGGGAGGCCTTCCTTCTTGGTGAAAGGGGGGGGCACTGGCACAGTGTCTTGCCAGTGTTCCTTTGCTTAGTTTCTTTTTTTAACTGTTGTTTGTGATTTTCCATCTTCCTGAGACCAACCACTACTTGCTGGACCTTCTGAATTGGGAAAGAATGGAAAGTCTGTCAGCCAGTTTTTTCCAACATTTAGGTTGTTGAACTGCTTAGGGGATCCTCTGAGCCTCTCACCTGAGGGGTCTGCCAATCATTTGTTGTCTGAACATGGGCAGATTCCTCTTGCTAGCCAAATCTCAGGGTCACCAACATGCTTTAGATTATTTGTGAGGGAGAGCTGAGATCTTGGATGAATGATACCAGCCCCTGCTGTGCCTCGTGGATGCTCAGTCACCAGAGACACTCACGATCACCCTTGGTGCTGAGCTCAACCTCAGCCTCAGGCTCACAAAGTGAGGGCAGGCAAAGTAGAAGCCCCACTGAACACATTTCAGTTTAACTCAATTGCACACATAGCAGGGCATTGACAGTGAGGTCAGAAATGTGGAGAAAGAACATTTACAGAAACATTTCAAGATAGAGAACACCCTTCAAAGTACTCCAGTTTTGGAGGCCAGTGGCATCTCAGAGCTGTTTGGTTTTCATATAGAATGGGAGAGAAAGGCCTGGAGGACTTTCTGGAGGCAGGGGAGGTTCTTGCTACTTTGTGCCCTAAAACATCGGAAGAATCACTGTGTGATCCCTCTTAGGATGGGAGCCATCCGTGAACTTAGCAGATATTTCAACATGAAATAGAGCTTCCAGGTTTTGTGGGGGAAATGTATTTTAGGTGTGCACCCAATATAACAGTATATATGCGCTGCTCTTAAAGACAAGAAGGCTCGCTCTTTTTCTTTCTTTCTTTCTTTCTTTCTTTCTTTCTTTCTTTCTTTCTTTCTTTCTTTCTTTCTTTCTTTCTTTCTTCTTTCTTTCTTTTTCTTTCCTTCCTTCTTTCCTTCTTTTTCTTTCTTTCTTTCTTTTTCTTACTTTCTTTCTTCTTTCTTTTTCTTTCTTTCCACCTTTCTTTCTGTTTCCTTCTGTCTTTTTCTCTCCCCTCCCTCCCTCCCTCCCTCCCTTCCTTCCTTCTTTCCTTCCTTTTTTTTGAGGCAAGGTTTCATTCTGTTGAGCAGGCTGGAGTGCAGTGGCACAATGATGGCTCACTGCAGTCTCAACCTCCTGGGCTCAGGTGATCCTCGCATCTAAACTTCTTGGGCAGCTGGGACTACAGGTGCACACCACCATGCCTGGCTAATTTTTCGTATATAGTTTTTATAGACAGAATTTTCCATGTTGCCCAGGCAGGTCTCAAACTCCTGCGCTCAAGTAATCTATCTGCCTTGGCCTCCCAAAGTGCTGAAATTAGAGATATGAGCCACCACACATGGCCTGAGTTTTCTTTGTATACCTAATGGTATCACTTTAATCAGAATCTCTCTGTTCAATATCAGGGACAAGGGAGGACTTTAAGGATGGCAGAACATTAATTATCAAAATATGCTGGGGAATGGCACGAGGGTATTGATGAGGATGAGGGGCCCTGGGAAACACCTGTGGGTGAGGGTTGCTGGGAAATGTCCCACTGTGGGAAGATCCCTGAGTCTAAAAGAAAGGTTTCCAGACCATAGCACCATGACAGAGACTTGGACCCTTGTTCACTTTCTCCCACATCCTGCAAAACCCACAGCTCCCACCTTCGATGGCTTCCAGGTTGGGAAAGTCTCCCTTCCCAGGTCTGGCCACACTGCTTCTCTCTGGCATCTGCCCCAGCTCAGATTCTCAGATTCCATCTTCCCAGGCTGATTTTCTGAGGCGAGCCCATCATTTTTGGGAGTAAACACGCTTTCCCTTCTAGTAGGGGCCAAGACTGTTTCTGCCTTCTCTGCCCTCAAAGACAATGTTGTGTTTGAAGAGTCTGCACTGTCTCTTCTGTAACTATTCCCTTTTTAATTTTTAAACTCAATCCAGACAGAGTCTTTCAATCCTTCTGTGGAGATGCCCACAAAATACCCACCATGTTTTATGCTGTCTTGGTTCCTTCCCAGGGTTCTACTAGAACACCCGGTCCCATCCTGCCCAGCCCCCACCTCACTTTGTCATTCTGTCCTGATTTCCTGCAGTGAAGCCTTGACCTTAGTCTTGTGATCAATAACACCCTCAGTGGTTCCCCTCTTCAACCTGAACCCACATATGACCTGCCCCGTTAGGAAGCATAAAACCCAGGTAACTGTTGGATAACAGAGCTTTGTATTCTGTTTTCTTAGGGTTGACATCACCGTCTTTTTAAAGCTGTCTTAGCTCTGAAACGTTTGGATAATTTCAATGTGGCCAAATATTCTCCCATAAAGATATCATCAGGTTTTGTTTTTTCTTTCTAATGCCAGGAACAGATTAAACCTTCCATGTCACTATGAAGGTCACATGTTAGTCAAACTTCATCAGTGTTTGGGGAATAAATGAATTAATGACTTTTGGACTTTCACCCTGTTATTTATTCTTTCACTTTCATAAATGCACATCTAATTTAATCAATGAATCAGAAGAAAGTGTGAAACTCAATCAGGATTAACTGGGTGGAACTTCAGGATCTAATCAGGTATCACTTTCTGATTGGAAGCTGGTGATTGAGAAGGGGAGGGTGTGGTTAGAAACATCAACAAAAGCTCCTGAGTTTGCACAGGACAGACCCAAAGCCCTGGTGCCTGGAGCTACTGCTTGGTTCTCTGAGAGGTCCCAGCACCCTGCAAACTGAGTCCAGATCTGGTAAGTCACCACCTTCTTAGGAACATGCCCGTCTAATCTGCAGCCAGCCAGTCAGGGATGGTGACACACAGCCCAAAATGGCACAGAGAATTTCCTGTCTGTTTTTTCAGATTAAACAGATGTAGGTTTTGATTTTTCCTCCAAATATAGTTTTGACTTCATCCCTCAAATTTTGATTTGTGCTTCATTTTCCTCATTTCAAAATTCTTATTGAAGCAGTTTTTAAAAAAAAAATATTAAAAATTTACAGTTGGATGGATGTTTATGTCTTGACATGTGAAGTTGTTGGTTTCTGTGCCTGTCAGCTATAGTTCACACACTTAGCGGTATTGTGATTTTATTAGTCAGGCTTTCATTTTACAGAAATCTTAGATCTCCCGTACACCATTCTCAAGAGACTTGTTCCGAACCTGGGATTTATCTCTTCCCTTAGACTCTGTCCCTAAGTGTGTGATTGTGAGTATGTGGAAGGGATGTGTATTGGATCCTTCTCCTCAGACTTAGTGTTTCCATTTCTACCTTCCAAGTGCTCTAGACTACTGCAACACTGCTTTTATAATTTCTCTTACAGTTTTTCAAAATAAAAACACACACCTTGGACTCCCAAAGTGCTGGGATTACAGGAGTGAGCCACTGTGCCTCATCTAGAGTTAGTATTTCTATCCCTACCTTCCAAATGCTCTAGAATACCATCACGTCGCTTTTAGTTTCTGGTTAATTCTTTTCTCTTGTTCTGAGATGGAGTCTCACTCTGTCACCCAGGCTGAAGGGCAGGGTGTTGAGTTCAGCTCACTGAAAACACTGCCTCCGGGATTCAAGTGATTCTTCTTCCTCTGCCTCCAGAGTAGCTAGGATTATAGGACTGCACCACCACACCTGGCTAACATTTTAATTAATTAATTATTATTATTATTATTATTATTATTATTATTATTTGAGACAGAGTCTAACTCTTTTGTCCAGACTGGAGTGCAGTGGTGGGATCTCGGCTCACTGCAACCTCTGCCTTTTGGAGTCAAATGATTTTTAATTTTTTTATATTTAGTAGAGACAGAGTTCATTACGTAAGCCAGGCTGTTCTCGAACTCCTAACCTCAAGTGATCTGCCTGTTTTGGCCTCCCACAGTGCTGGGATTACAGACATGAGCCACAGCACCCGGTCAGTTTCTGGTTGAAATTTTTCAAAATAAAAAATAATGGCATTGACTTTAGGGAGTCCCTTTAGTGTTCCCCCAGCATGTTCATGGTGAAAACTGAGAATGGAGGCTGTCTGGGGCCACAGGACACTCTCATTCTCATTGCTTTAGGGCGGTAAGTGACAAGAAAATTTTCCTCAAAGAGGTAGAGCTTGGCTTTCAGGATCCTCAGTGACACTTTCCAGTGGTACTGGGATTCAGTGGAGCCATGGATGAAAATTAATGGGCCAGTGGTCTCTTTGACCCCTCCCTCCTTGGTGTTTGGAAGACATTCTTCCTGGTACCAGCAGAAGCAGAAATATAGATTTGTGGCCACCAAGTGCAGAGTGGAATTGGGGTAAAGTGGTAATTTTTCTACCTCTACCAGAGCAATGCTATTGGCCTTAGGAGAAGATGAGGTGATTGTGTTTGGCCTGAAAGTGATGCCTTTTCTCTGGATTTGTCTTCTAGAGTTTTTCCTTACAGATTCATCAGGATGAGCATCCAGGCCCCACCCAGACTCCTGGAGCTGGCGGGGCAGAGTCTGCTGAGAGACAAGCCCTTGGCCATCTCTGCCCTGGAGGAGCTGCCCAGGGAGCTCTACCTCCCACTCTTCCTGGAGGCCTTCAGCAGGAGACACTTCCAGACTCTGACAGTGATGGTGCAGGCCTGGCCCTTCACCCGCCTCCCTCTGGGATCGCTGATGAAGACGCTTCATCTGGAGACCTTAAAAGCATTGCTGGAAGGGCTTCACATGCTGCTTACACAGAAGGATCGCCCCAGGTGAGGTGACCCAGGAAGGCTGGTAGATGGGGCTCAGGTGTCCAGGGAAAGAACAGCAGGGTCAGGCAAAGAAGTATCCCAAGGATGGCCCAGTGTCTTCTGGTGGTGCTGGTGACGAAGCTCAGGCATGCCTTGGCCATTGCCCAGATCCTCAGGGAAAGAACTGCCCACAATGTAGGGTCCACTGTGGGAACAGAAACTTGCCTATTCCCAGTGGAAGGTAAATGGAATAGAAGTGGGGACCAGTCAGAATTGAAAGAGAAAAGGGACCAAGAAAACTCAGAGAGAACAGGGAGCAGCGAGGACAGGAGCAGCTGATTTATTGGATGAGAATGAAAGCAAAGGTCAGGGATTTGTCCTTCAAAGTTCTGAGCCTCTGCCTTACTTTACCCACAGGAGGTGGAAACTTCAAGTGCTGGATTTGCGGGATGTTGATGAGAATTTCTGGGCCATATGGTCTGAATCCAGGGCCCTGTCCTCCTCCCCAGAGGCCATGAGTAAGAGGCAGACAGCAGAGGACTGTCCAAGGATGGGAGAGCACCAGCCCTTGAAGGTGTTCATAGACATCTGCCTCAAGGAAATACCCCAGGATGAATGCCTGAGATACCTCTTCCGGTGGGTTTACCAAAGGAGAGGTTTAGTACACCTGTGCTGTAGTAAGTTGGTGAATTATCTAACGTCGATTGAATATCTCAGAAGATCATTGAAAATAATCCACCTGAATAGTATTCAGGAGCTGGAAATTTGCTATGTGTCCTGGCCACATCTGATAAGAAAGCTTCATTGTTACCTGAAGGAGATGAAGAATCTTCGCAAACTCATTTTTCTCCAGGTGCCATCCTTACACGTCAATTACCGCGAGGAATGCTCAGTCGCCAAAATCAGCTCTATGTTCCTCAGGCTGAAACACCTCCAGCTGCTTAAAATGAATATGGTCACCTTCCACAGAGGGCACCTGGGACAGCTGATCAGGTGAGAAAGGATCGTGCCCTTTCTCTGCAGACCACAGCGCAGCCTTTTTTTTTTGTTACAGTAAACACTAGAAGACGTGTACTGTGTGCCAGCCAGTGGCGACGGCACAGTGCAGGGAACACCAGAATGTCAACACATTGTCCCGTTCAGTGCTCCATGTCCTGGAGTGGCTATCACAGGATCACTTCAATAAAGGCAGAGGGGTCACCTAGGGTAGAGGCTAGAGAGGGACATCATGTACAAGGTACTTAGTGGGCGTTTTGTCTCTACTGCATGTGCACGTGTGAATTTCTTGTTACAAAGTGTGTTTCAAGTTGATATGATGTAAAAGAGGTAACAAAGGAGGGTATGAAAGGAGGGACAGTGCATCAAACTTGTGCATTTCACAGTAGAAGCTCTGTCCTCACCAGCTTAGTGATCATGAATGATCCTGTCTCTGATTCCCTGTCTGTAGAAGGTTGTTTTGAACTCCAGGAAAGTCAATTGACATGGGACATGCATGCTTCTGGGATGGAGGGTGAAGGAGTAGGAGTGAGAGTGGTAAAAAGTGACAGTTGGTTTGCAGATGCAGGCAGGCCAGGGAGCCCCTGCCGGCAGGTAGCCCCAGCTAATGTCCCTAGACCTTGCTGAGTTGAGTTCTTTGTGCACATCTCCCACCGGGTACCTGTGGCCCAGAGATGAGGTTTTCTGCTAAAAGATGAAGATAAAAGGCTTTAGAGATTTTGTGGCCTTGACCCAATCACACAAGAAATGGTGAAAGGGCTGAGGCTAAAATGGGACAGCCCCTGAATGATCAGGGTCCTCAACATGCAGCAACTTGCATGAGGACCATCATCAGATGGTGGGAACAAACTTGTGTTTGGTTGAAGCAGGTATTTTCCTTGAGTTCATTCCCCACTACCTTCATCTAACTGGTACCATTGCCCAGAACTAACTTCTTGATCTCCACAGGTGCCTCTAGAACCCCTTGGAGAACTTGGAATTAACTTGCGGCTACCTATTGGAAGAGGACTTGAAGTGTCTCTACCAGTACCCAAGCCTCGCTTACCCAAAGCATCTGAATCTCAGCTACATGCTGCAGTTCTGTATCAGTCTTGAACCCCTCGGAGCTCTGCTGGAGAAAGTTTCTGCCAACACGAGGGTCTCGAGAGAGGCAGCAATTACTCTTAAGACCCTCATCTCGGAGGGCTGTCAGATCCACTACTCCCAACTCAGTGCCATCCTGCCTGGCCTGAGCCGCTGCTCCCAGCTCACCACCTTCTACTTTGGCAGAAATTGCATGTCTATGGAAGCCCTGAAGGACCTGCTGTGCCACACCAGTGGGCTGAGCAAGTTAAGCCTGGAGATGTATCCTGCCCCCGAGGAGAGTTTGAATTCCTTGGTTCATGTCGATTGGGAGATCTTCACCCCACTTCGGGCTTAGTTGATGTGTACACTAAGGGAAGTCAGGCAGCCCAAGAGGATCTTCATTGGCCCCGCCCCCTGCCCGTCCTGTGGCTCATCACCGTCTGAGGAACTGGAGCTCCATCTTTGCTGCTAGGGAAGGCGTGCCTAGCGGGGTAGAGAAATCCAATGTTCTCTTCTAGGCCCTTGGACACTAAAATCTAGTATGTAGGTGCAAGTTATTTTCCTCTTTTCTTATTTCCTTTTTTAATAATTCCAATATTTTTATTACAAAAAAATTGAGAAAGTGTTTCACTATGTTGCCCCAGCAGGTCTCAAACTGCTGGTCGCATGGGATTCTCCTGCCTCGGCCTTCTAAAGTGCTGGGATTACAGGCATGAGCGACTGTGCCCAGGCCACATGTGCAACTTAAAGGAAGCACAGAGCTCTGTTTCAGACAGGTGCTCAGTGCGAGGGAAAAAATCCTAAGAGCAGGGGGCAAGACTTGAGGAAAATATTGAGGTGGAGTCAATGAGAGCTACAGAGTCAGAAAGAGAAACTAAAATTCTTCAGTGATGAGAATGTTATCCCTGCAAGGATGATTACCAAGAAATATCAGAAATAGAGAACCTCAGTGAAAACCTTCTGGTGTCCTCTGTAATAGATTTACTTGTTTTAGGGATTTATACATCAGAAATCTCTAGTTATTGAGTTACTGATGGAAAAATAACGAGGCACTAGTTTGTCTGTGATTGAGGTTCAGCTGCGGAACATCATAGCAGCCAAATAAAATTAGACCATTTTGAGTAATTCCCACCCATTCTTGTTCTTTTATTTCATTATTTATTTTTTTATTTTTGGAGACAAAAATATTGCTTTGTCATTCAGGCTGGAGTGTAGTGGTGCAATCTGGGATCACTGGAATCCTTTCCTGTGGGGCTCAAGTGATTCTCGTGCCTCAACCACTCAAGTAGCTGGGAGTACAGGCACGTGCCACCAAGCCTGCTAATTTTTGTATTTTTCGTAGAGACAGGGTTTTACCCTGTTCACCAGGCTGGTCTTGAGTTCCTGGCTTTGAGTGATCCGCCAACCTTGGCCTCCCAAAGTGCTGGGATTACAGGTGTGCGAATGGTCTGCACCCATCCTTTACTTCTCTTTAGTCATCTGTTTTTTCATACTTTTTCGACTGTGGGGAGCAGCTCGGTCGGGCACAAAGGCACAGGCAGAAAGAGGCCATGAGGAGAAGATGGGCTTGGGGTGGTGCCGTGCTTGCACATGAAGTGTGGTTGTCAGGTTCCAAAGGCAGAGCTGGGGCCATGCTCCAGGGCCCCGAGTTGGGAAGCAGAAATGGCACCAAGTTCAATGACCTGGCCAGCTATGCATCAACTGTGTGCCCACCCTGCTAATAGTATCAAGTTCCTAGGTCTAAAAAGGAGTTCTGTGTGAATCTTCCTGAGGCTGCATTTCCAAGATCTGCCCCCAAGAGGGGTGAACACAGAGCCTGATGCTTCCGATTGCTGGGCCTGTGGACCACGATCCACTCCTAAAGGCACCACCTCTTGGCTGGGTTGTCAGCCAGGCCTGTGCCCCATGTCCCTGAGGCAGCCAACTGTGCCACCCATACCCTCTCACGGCTAAACGGGACTTGCCCCTAGGTCCGCAGTCTCCACCACAGCCTCGACCTCACTCCCCACTTTGTGCTGTTAGCCTGCAAACTCCTGGATCAGAGCGCAGTTGGGGCTCATTAAACCGGACCCAGGAGCTTCAGATTTGTTTCTGTGGGGTTGACCAGAGCTGCTGTGAACCTGCATCTCACCTGTCACCTCTGCACGGAAACAGAGAGAGGGCAAAGCTGAGGCTGTGCACACTTTGGAGCTGATGGGATCCTGGGACAAGAGGGAGTCCTGGTCCTCCCAAGTCGGCAGGGCCGTAGCTCCAAAGGCACAACTGAAGCTGCCCAGGTTGCAGTTACCAAACAAGGTCCCCTAGTGCTCTCGAGGGCCCAGGAGGTCCCCCCTTCCCCATTCTATTGCTCAATAAAGGTCCTCTTTATCTTGCTCACTCTCCACTTGTCTGCATATTTCATTCTTCCTGGTTGCAGGACAAGACCCGCCTAATGGTGGGGCTAAAAGCAGTAACACAAACAAAGCTGAAACATGCCCCTTGCTCACCAAGTTGTAGGTGAAGAGAAAAAGAGAAGAGCTACTACTCTTTTCAGGAGCCCAGACGTGGGAGCTTCCTGAGCCAGGGCTGTGATTCCCTTTTTGTGGTTCTGCAGTTCCCAGCACTTCCAAGAAGGCCCATAATGGCAGTTAATGCTATAAAGGGGAGGTAGAGGAACCTGTGGAAGGAAAAAAAAAAATGGTGGGGCTGAGATGGAGGGCCTGGGTCCACCCACAGACGAAAGTCCCTTCCTAGCAGACCCTGCACTGGGCCCCAGGGATCCTGGCGTCCCTGGTTCACACCCACGCTGCATATCGCACCTATGGGGGGCACCCCAAAGCTTCTAGCAAGCCCAGAAAGGAAGACAAGACGTGAAAGGGGAGGTAGAGGCACCTGTGGAGGAAAAAAATGGGCACCGTAGAGGAGGGGTGCTTGGGTCCCCCCACAGAAGAATGTGCCTTCCCAGCAGCCCCTACGGAGTCCCCGGGATTTCTGGCATCCCTGGATCACACCCACGTTGCCTGTCATGGTGGTGGGGGCACCCGGAAGGGGCAAGAAAGCCCAGAAGGGAAGATAAGGTTTGAAAGGGGAGGTAGAGGCACCTGTGGAAGGAAAAAAATGGCGCAGTCGAGAAGGGGGGCCTGGGTCAACCCACGGATGAAAGTGCCCTCCCAGCAGACCCTGCACAGGGCCCGGGGGATCCTGGCATCCCTGGTTCACACCCACAGTGCGTGTTGCACCTGCGGGAGGCACCCCAAAGCATCAAGAAGGCCCAGAATGGAAGAGAAGGCTTGAAGCTTAAAGTAGAAGCACCTGTGGAAGGAATAAAAAACGGCACGGCAGAGGAGGTGGGCATGGGTCCCCCCATGGATGAAAGTGACTTCCCAGCAGCTCCTGAGCTTGGTCCTGGGGATACTGGTGTCCCTGGTTCGCCCCAACGATGCCTGTCCCTCCCACTGGGGGGAAACCCAAAGCAGCAACAGGCACTAGTGGAAGGTAAAAAATACGTGCGGCAGAGGAGGGGGGCCTGTGTCCCCACATGGACTAAAGTGCCTTCCCAGCAGCACTTGCACAGGGCTCCGGGGTTAGTTCCATCCCTGATTCACACCCAAGGTGCATGTCACACCCATGGGGGGCACCCCAAAGTGGTAAGAAGTCCCAGGATGGAAGATAAGGCTAGAAAGGGGAGGTAGAGACACCTGTGGAAGAAAAAAAATGGCGAGGCAGAGAAGGGGTGCCTGGGTCCCCCCACAGATGAAAGTGCCCTCCCAGCAGACCCTGCACAGGGCCCTGGTGATCCTGGCGTCCCTGGTGCTCACCCACGGTGCATGTCACACTCGCGGTTTTACCCCAATGGGGCAAGAAGGCCCAGAAAGGATGATAAGGCTTGAAAGGGGAGGTAGAGGCACCTGTGGAAGGAAAAAAAAAAGGGAACAGCGGAGGTTCAGGCCGGGGTACCTCCTTGGACAAAAGTGCCTTCCCAGCAGCCCCTGGGTGGGGCCCCGTGGATCCTGACATCCCTGGTTCGCCCCCTTGGTAAGTGTCAATGACCTCATGGTATGTGTGTGTATATATATATATATATATATATATATATATATATATATATATATATATATATATATATACATGTGTGTGGTGTGAGCACCTAGAAAGTGACAACTCTCCAGGACAGAGCTGGCCTCACAGATTAACATGGTCTTTCACTTGGCAGGGAAAAGTAAAACGCCTCGTGTCCCTGGCTGGGCAACCCCCTCAGGAGTCCAGCAAGAAGACATGGGATCTGTGGACAGGAGGCTACTGGGCGAAACCTCTCATTGAGGATTATGTTAAAATTTGCACTTGAGACGCTGAGTGCCCTATGTCCTTCCCACTCACCAAAGAACCCCAGCTGAGCCAGCCCTGACTCCCAGACACAAGAGCCCAGGGAGAAGCTGGGAGAGAGGGAGACCCGCTGTGACCTCAGGGCATGGAAGGAGCCCTGACCTTTTTCTCCATGATGCCTTCCCCACTCCCAAGTGCCTCTGGCCTGAAGCTTCCAGGGACCCCTGCATTCCATCCATGCCCTCCTCTGCTCCCTCCAACCCAGCCTTTTCTAAAGCCCCATGCATTTGTCTCCATGAGAGTGCCCCAGTCTCAGGCGCTCACAGTGCCTCAGAAGCTCGGGGTCCCTGTGCCTGCCTGGAGGCAGTCTCACTCTATGTGGCCCCATGTGTGTTCTTGGATTTCTTTCTACACAAGGTCACCTGTAGGTGTACAGTAGACACATCACTTGTAGAAGAGCCAATGGGGATGGGTGAGGACCAGGAACCCTCTCAGGCACACACATGGAAAGAGAGAGAAGTGTTCCTGGAAGCACAGGCCTGGGGGTGGGTGCTAGCCCCCTGTGTCTCCTCTAATCAAAGAGGTCAGCGACTTTGGCCACAGAATACACACCCACTTCCCATGGGTTCACATCCAAAGAACAAACTCCTTCAGACTCCCTGGTCCATGCACTCGAGATCCCCAGGGTGTCTTGAGTTTTTATCCCAGAAGGAGAGAGAAACAAGCTTTCATCAGCTAAACAAGACCACTACTAATACTAATGTAGGTATTGACACTAATACTAGTACTACTACTAATACAAGTGCTAACACTACCAAAAGTACTGTACTAATATGAATATCAACAGGGATTTTTTTTTCTAGCTGCTCAAGGAAATGTGTGGAGTCATCCCCTATTTTCTTTTTATTGGAGCCACTGTGTCAGTGGCGACAGTGGTTAGGAGCCTCCTTTGGGTAAAAACGAGGTAACTTCAGCCCCTGCTTGCTCCACTGTCTGCCTCTCCAGGGCCTCTGTGTCCTGCTGCAGAGTCTAGCCTGTTCTTCACAGGCACACATTCCTTATGGCACAGAGACACACCAATAAAAAAAGTCCTGAGAGAAAGGAAGGAATGGCACCTGCAAGAGACCTCACACTGATGGACCTCAGAGATATTCGTGGCCTGAGGAACACAGAGGAGAATGTGTGGGGAGCAGATCCCCACTGAGAAAGAAGCAGGACAGCTGGGCGCAGTGGCTCACACCTGTAATCCCAGGACTTTGGGAGGCTGAGGCATGTGGATCATGAGGTTAGGAATTTGAGACCAGCCTGGCCAATATGGTGAAACCTCATCTCTAGTAAAAATAGAAGAATTAGCTGGGTGTGGTGTTGTGCCTGTAGTCCCAGCTACTTGGGAGGCTGAGGCAGGAGAATTGCTTGAACTGAGGAAGCAGAGGTTTCAGTGAACAATAGGAAAACAGTATTACAAGGAAAACTACTAGTCCTAAGATTTCTAACTATGTTTATTTGCTTGATGAGTCCTCAAGCTTCGGCCGTGCGTAGACTAGTCAGCTTCCAGTGTGTGACTAGAGCAGGGCTTGTTGTCTCCTCAACCTTCAGCTGTACGTAGACTGGTCAGCTTCTGGAGTGACCAGAGCAGGGCAGTCATCTTTAGCATCAGCTTGGTCTCATCTCAGGACCAGCTGTGTCTCATCTCAGGATCAGGTGGGTGATCTGGGTCCTGCTGGCTGGTCCACTTGTCCTGAGCTTCGGTTTCAGCCAGCTGTGGTGGATCCAAGGCACAACACCTGCAACTTTAACAGCAGAGGGAGTACACAAGATTACAGTATAGGGCTGGGTGTGTTGGCTCATGCCTGTAATCCCAGCACTTTCAGAGCCCGAGGCGGGTGGATCACGAGGTTGGGAGATGGAGAGCATCCTGGCTAACACGGTGAAACCTCATCTCTATTAAAAAAAAAAATACAAAAATTACCCACGCATGGTGGCGGGCACCTGTAGTCCCAGCTACCTGGGAGGCTGAGGCAAGAGAATGGTGCGACCCCCAGGAGGCAGAGCTTGCAGTGAGCTGAGATCATACCACTGCACTCCAGCCTGGGGGACAGAGCAAGACTCTGCATCAAAAAAAAAAAAAAAGGTTACAGTATAGGGCCCATCCCATATGGGTCCTAGAGAATTTAATTCAACTTTTTAACTCAGAGTCACTAGGTTTAAAGGGGTGTGTCTGGTCTGTCAGGCTTACAGGCATTCTTTCCTGTACCCACCCATGGACACTTTGCAAGTCTGTCCCTAATGCCTGCATTTGCTTTCTTAAGGTTAATTCTCTTAGTTCAAGGAGATAACCTTTAATTTGACTTATGACTGGGGGAGGCTGACTGAACAAAATCTCATAGGGCAAATACCCAGTTTGTTTGGTGAGGGTGCACCTGACTCAGAGGAGGACCATAGGCAAGACCTGATCCCATCTCAGATAGGTTTCCTGGAAATATTTCTTCAGAAGCTCCTTGAGTGTCTGGTTCATGCATTCCACTTTTTCTGAACTTTGCGGCTGATAGGCTGTGTGTAACTTCCATTTTATTTTTAACAGTCTTGTTAAATCTTGCACTATTTCAGCTACAAATGCCGTGCAATTAACGGACCCTAAAGTTAGAGGCAGTCCAAGCATGGGGATGATGTCTCTTAGCAGTACTTTAGTCACTTCTCATGCTTTTTCTGTTCTGGTGGGGAAAGCTTCAACCCATCCTGAAAAGGTGTAAATAAGCACCAGCATATACTGATAGCCTCTGGCATGGGGTAGTTTGGTAAAGTCTACAAGAAAGTTTTCACAAGGCATGGTTCCTACTTCCTGAATTCTTGGGGGTTGAGTGGGCCCCTGTCACGGGTTGTTCTGAGCACAGGTTAAACATTGTTTACAAACAGCTCAAATGATGGCCACGGCACATAGAAACAGCATTTCAGTAATGTTTCCAGTGCCATTTTTTCCCATATGAGTTCCTAGATAAATTTGCTTCAGAAACGTAGGAGCTAACATTTCTGGAATGGCTAATGTCCCATTGAAGAATTTCCACCACCCTCCTTTAATATATTTTCCAGCTTCTTGAGCAAACCAGGCTCTTTCATTTGGAGTAGAACTTGGATCTTCTTGGAGAGGAGCTTCTGGGAGGAGAAGCATAGCTAAGGCTTCCTCTTTAAAATGTGATGCAATCATTGCTCCCCTCTTTGCCTCTCTGTCTGCCTTTCTGTTTCTTTTGGTTTTTGGTGTCCCTGACTTTTGGTGCCATCTGCAGTGCATTAAAGCTACTTTTCCTGGAGGCCATACAGCCTCTAAGAGCTGTAGAATCTCTTCTTTGTACTTGATTTCTTTGCCTCCAGCTGTTAAAAGCCCTTTCTCTTTGTCTATAACTTCATGTACATGCAATGTAGTAAAAGCATACTTAGAATCAGTGTAAATATTGACCTTCTTCTCTTTTGCTAGAAACAGTGCTCTTGTCAGGGCTATTAATTCTGCCTTTTGAGCTCATGTTCCAGTAGGCAGAGGCAGAGCATCTACTACTAAGTCCAATGTTATTACTGCATACCTGGCATCTTGAACCCCTTCTAGCACAAAACTACTTCCATCTGTGAAGTATTCAAAAGCCGGGTCTCTGAGGTCTGTCTGCAAGATCTTTCCGACTGGAGAACACCTCATCTACTGTTGCAACACAGTCATGGAGGGGAGCCCCCGGTTAGACTGGGAGCAGAGGAGCCAGGTTTAAGGTGTTCACTGTTTCTAAAATAATGTAAGGGTTCTCACAAGGAAGACCTGAGTCATTTTTGGGTTTGATAACCAAAGATGCCCTCTTTGGTCCATCAAAGTTATAACTGAGTGTGGCACCCGCACAGTTAGCTGCTGTCCCAGAGTTAATTTGCTAGCTTCTTGTGTTAACAAGATGGTGGCAGCTAATGCCTTAAGGCAAGGAGACCATCCTAGCACCACAGAGTCCAGTTGTTTGTATAAATACGCCACTGGGCAATGCCATGATGCTATAATTTGAGTCAGAACCCCTATAACCATTCCTTTTCATTCATGAATACATAGAAAGAGAGGCTTAATTATATCTGGTAGTCCTAAGGTTGGGCCTGACCTAAAGCTTCCTTGAGCTGTTTGAATGCTATTTCCTGATTAGTTTCCCAAAGGAGGGGCTCTTTTTCTCCGATTTTGTGGCTTCATATAATGTCTTAGCCATCACTGAAAAATTTGGAATCCAGATGTGGCAGAATCCTGCTGCCCCTAAAGGAAGGGGGCCAGCCCCTCCACACCTGTGGGTATACCTCATCAAGTGGGGTGAGAGACTGAGAAAAGAAATAAGACACAGAGACAAAGTGTAGAGAGAGAACAGCGGGCTTCTAGCCAGCAGAGAGTTGCCTGTGTTACTCTCCGACACTCCTCAGTGTTAAACAGTGGGAGAAAAAACTGCCTGCAGTCTGGCCAGGTTGGATTGTGTGTCAGAAAGATGGATTGCATCAGATCTATAAGAGCTTGGGGCTTTGCCATATAGGAGGGAGTATGGTGTTTCCAGTTCAAGAGATCAATGGTTGAAAAGGGATGATAGATGAAAGTCCATTCCCCCCACCTGACTTGGCCTTGGTCATCATAATAAATGGGTCCTCCCATCTCCCTGAGATGCATTTGCATAACTCAAGCATGGCTAGATCTGAGATGGCCGGCTTAACCATCTTGACTTCCTTCCCTGGCCTCTCAAGCCTCTGATCCTTCCTTTGGGGTGAGACTTTGGGTGTGCTAGCTCCTGAATCTGGTTCCTGGGGGACTGTTGGCCTCGGTAAAGAAGGCTAGGCTGGGACATATGGAGTAGGAATCTCTATTCCCTCTGGTGGATCCTGCAAAACTGGCTTTTTTGCTCCCTCTGGGACTTTGCCTTTAACTCTGTGTCTGCCGGTGAAGCTGTTCTTACTTTCATTTTTGGCACGGCTCTGGCCACAAGTGTTTTGCACTAACTGGCTAAACAGAGCTGGACCATGCTGGTCTTGTCTGTGCTATATTTAACCATAAGTCAATATAAGGAAATTGATCTGGGTGCCCAGGCTGTCCTCCAACCCCTGTCACCACCTTAAATACACGGTCAATTATTTCCCTATCTATAGTTCCTTTGGTTGGCCATCCAACACCAAAAGAAGGCCATTTGAATTCACAGAGAGTTCTCAACCTCTAGGAGGTTAGCGTAACTCCATAATCTCCTGCAAAACCTTTATTAAAGTTCTCTAACATGCACCCAATGGAGTGTGTTTTGATGACTTTCCTCCTATTTCCTCGCTTTACGATGCAGCACACCCACTCTTCCTTTTGCCTCAGTCCCACCAGATCATCTCCTATTATGGGAGTTTTCAGATGCCACTTGGCTTAAGAAAGGGTTTTATTCCCACCATAACTCTGAGATGTGGGGCAGCTCCTATTAGCTGTATGCGGTTCGCCACTAGTGCAGGTTGGCCCCGCACTTGGCTTGGAGCACACAGACCATGCTAAGAGATCTGTGACTCCCCATGCCACTCCCACATTGGTTCCTCCCTGAACTGTATCTTTCACACACTTTCACACACCTCCCCACTCCCAGTTCGTGTGTTCCTAATTGGGGTTGTGAGCCACTCTCACCACCTCCAGTTTTCTTTTCCTAACCGACTTGGGGAGCCACTCTTGCATTGTGTGCCAGGTAGGGTGTGAGATTCATCTGAATTGGCGAGCCTCTGTCACCACCTCCAGCCTCTCTGGGTCAGATTACTAGTTACACCCTTGGAGGTGATCAGGCTCCCCTTCCGTCCTTATGGGACGGATCCTGTCTTTGGTCCCAAAACTTTACTGCAGTCCTGAAGAAATCACACTGCTCCTGGAATCATCCTGTAGCCCCTCAGGTTCTGTTGTGCTGCTGGGTGGGGGCACCAGGTCACAGGAGAGCCGATCTCCCCTCTGGGCTGAAGTTCTTCCAGCAGCGCCTGGGGTCACAGGTTTCTTTCCCTTGACCCTGGGCTCCAGCCCCACAAGAAAAGGAGAAAGTAAACCTGTCATCTCCACTCCTCCTGTCTGGCTCACCAAAAAGTTCTGAGAAACTGAGGACCAGAGAGACTGATATGGGAAAACAGGAGGATTTTTTTTTTTAAGGTACACACTGGCTCAGTGGATTCATATCCAAAAAGCTGAGCATTGAACAAAGACTGAGCAGGATTTTTATAAGCAGGCTTACAGAAGCAAAACAATGGCAGTTAATCATACAATGACAGGTAATGTAATCTATTACATAACTGTGGCCTTGCATAGCTGGTGGCCTTGTAGCTGCATCAAAAGAAAAAAGAAGAACTGGCTAAATACAGACATTTGCCATTTTTCTTTCTTTTTTTTAATCACCCTTGCTCTGGAGCAGTGGGTGTCTGGAGCCTATTCCTTTCTTTCAACTTCTCCAACAGCATTATCTTATAACTGTCCTTGAAATGAGCTTGCTAGGCAGAGGAAAACTTGTTTTTTGTTTGTTTGTTTGTTTGTTTTACCTTTGCCTGACACATTCTGGGCCTTGGCTTTTACTTCTCAGACTAGGTCACTATGACCTTCTTATAGCTTTGTCTGTAACTTTTCTTGGAGTAAATGAATGTAGTATTTATTGTTATTATTGTGTTTAAATTTCTGCCTCAAGACCAGACTACGTAGTAAAGCAAGACCCCATCACTATTAAAAAAATTAATAGAAAATAGCATATATGATGGGGCATGGTGGTTCATGCCTGTAATCCCAGCACTTTGGGAGGCCAAGGCAGGTGGATCATCTGAGGTTAGGAGTTCGTGACCAGTGAGGCCAATATGGTGAAACCCCAACCCTACTAAAAATACAAAAATTAGCTGGGTGTGTTGGCTCGCACCTGTAATCTCAGCTACGCAGGAGGCTGAGGCAGAAGAATCACTTGAATTTGGGAGGTGGAGGTTGCAGTGAGCTGAGATCATGCCATTGCACCCCAGCCTGAGTGACAGAGTGAGACTTCATTTCAAAATTAAAAAAAAAAAAGAAAAGAAAATAGCATGTGGAATATCTCTGTGGTTTTCTTAAAAACAAAGCAAAATCTGTCATTTAAAATCACAATAACATTGCTGGGCACCATGGTTCACTTGAGTCCAGGAATTCTGAGACTAGCCCAGGAAATGTGGTAAAATCTTTTCTCTGCATGAAATACAAAATATTAGCCAGGTATGCTGCCACGTGCTGGAAGTTCCAGCTACTCAGAAGGCTGAGAGGGGATGATTGCTTGAGCCTGGGAGGCAGAGGTTGCAGTGAGTCAAGATTGCAACACTGCACACCACCCTGGGTGACACCCAATCTAAAAAAAAAAAAAGTCTTTCAATCCTTTTGTCCAGATGCCCACAAAATACCTGCCATGTTTTATGTTGTCTTGGTTCCCTCCTAGGGTCCCATTAGAACACTTAGTCCCATCCAGCCCAGCCCTCACCTTACTTTGTAATGTAGGCCTGATTTCTTTCAGTGAAACCTTGACCTTAACCTTGAGAAAAATTACACCCTCAGTAGTTCCTGTCTTCCACCTGAATGGGCATATGATCTACCATGTTAGGTAGCATAAAACCCAGGTGCCCAGTGGATACACAGAGATTTTTATTGTGTTTTTTAGGGATGACATCCCTGTCTTCTTAAAGCTGCTTTAATGCTGAAATGTTTTGATACTTTTGATGTGGCCAAAGATTCTCCAATAAAGATATATATATATTCTAATGTCAGAAACAGATTAAATCCTTCCCTGTATCACTATGAAGGTCACATATTAGTCAAACTTTACCAGTGTTTGTGGAATAAGTGAATAAATGAGTTTTAGACCTTCATCCTGTTATTACTTCTTTCACTTTCATAAATGCCTATCTAATTTAATCACTTCATGAGAAGAAAATTGAAAACTCAATCAGGGTTAACTGGGTGGAAGTTCACGATCCAGTTGGATGTCGTTTTCGAATTGAAAGTTGGTAGTCAAGAAGGGGGTTGTAGTGAGAAAGGTCAATAAAAGCTCCTGAAGGTGCACAGAAGAGACCCAAAGCCCTGGCTCCTGGAGCTACTGCTTGATTCTCACAGAGGTCCCGGCACCCTGCAAAGTGAGTCCAGAACTGGCAAGTCACCACTTTTTAGGGACATGCCCATTTGATCTGATCTTCTGTATAGCAAGTCATACAAAAGTCTGGAAGACACTAGCACATACACTGTGAAGAGAAGTCTGGGATAAGGGGAAGATTATAGGAGATGTTTGCTCTGTGGTTTTGGAATGTTTTGCATTCAGAATACTGTCCAGAGAAGGGAAAAAGGATGAAAAACAAATGAAGCTCGCCCTCATGTACCTCTATGTACCTCCTACCATGCTGGACTTTCTTGTTTTGTTTCATTTTGTTTTTCTTTCTTTCTTTCTCTCTCTCTCTCTCTCTCTCTTTCTTTCTTTCTTTTTCTTTTTTTGATACGGTATCTCACTCTGTTGCCTAGGCTGGGGTGCAATGGCATGATCTTCGATCACTGCAACCTCCACCTCCTGCGTTCAAGCAATTCTCCTCCCTCAGTCTCCCCAGTAGTGGGGACTACACCTATGCACCACCACGCCCAGTCAATTTTTGTATTTTTAATAGAGACAGGATTTCAATCATGTTGGCCATGCTTGTCTCAAACTTCCGACCTAAAGTGACCCACCCACTTCGGCCTCCCAAATGCTGGGATTACAGATGTGAGCCACTGCACCTGGCCAATTGCTGTACTTTCATGATACACATGGAGTATCCACAGTATCACAAGGGCTATTTTTTCCATAATCCAACTTATTTGTATTATTGGTAGTGAGCTACTGTTGACGTCCCCACGTTAGCAATTTAGTGGCTATACTGATGATAAGCATTTCCATGCATCATGTGGTCAACAGCATTTGCTACCAAGTGCCACGTTCCATGCTCAGCAGTGGGACCACAGGATGATCGAGACAAAGTTCCTGACCTTTAGCAGCAATATCGAACAAGTGAGATTGTCAAGAAAGAAAAAATCCTTGTAAAACATACCATACCCCTACGATTCAGTCATCATGCTCCCAGGTATTTAACGAAGGGAGTAAACCCACACCTGGATGTTTATAGCAGCTTTATTCATAATCGCCAAAACTTGGAAGCAAGAAAGATGCCCATCAGTGGGTGACTGGATAAAGAAACTGTGATCCATCTGGTCAGTGAACTATTACAAAGCCATAAAAAGACATGAAAGATTCCTAAATGCACGTTATTGTACAAGTGAAAGAAGGCAATGTGAAAAGACTCATCCTGTTAGACATTCCAGAAAAGCCTTCTGCCTTTTTCTATGGAGATGGTAGAAAACCCACTGGTTGCGAGGGATTTGGAGTACAATGGGATGAATGGAAAGAGGACAGAGGACTTTTAAGGAAACAAAACTACTCTGCATGATGCTCTAATGGTGGATACATGTCATTATCCCTTTGTTAAAATCCATAGAATATACAAAACCAGCAATGATCCTTCATGTAAACTATGGACATTGGGTGATAATGATGTGTCCCTGTGGCTCATTGATTGTGACGAATGCTCTGTGCTGGTGTGGGTGCTGATCCTGTGGGGGTGCTGTGTATTGAAGGGGGAAGAAGGTAGATGAGAACTCTGCAGTTTCTGCTTAGTTTTTCTGTGAATCTAAAACTGCTATAAAGAAAAAAATAGGCTGGGCGTGGTGGCTCACATCTATAGTCGTAGCATTTTGGGAAGCCGAGGCGGGTGGATCACCTGAGGTCAGGGGTTCGAGACCAGCCTGGCTAAAATGACAAAACCCTGTCTCTACTAAAAAATAATAATAATAATAATACAAAAATTAATCAGGTGTGGTGGTGCATGCCTGTAATCCCAGCTACTCTGGAGGCTGAGACAGGAGAATTGTTTGAACCCTGGAGGCAGAGGTTGCAGTGAGCTGAGATCGTACCACTGCACTCCAGCCTGGGTGAAAGAGTGAGACTCCATCTCCAAAATAAATAAATAAATAAACTCAAGGCTGGGTGCGGTGGCTCATGCCTATAAGAGCTCACTCCCAGCAATTTAGGAGGCCGAGCCAGGTGGATCGCTTGAGCCCAGAATTTCAAGACCAATCTGGGCAACATGGTGAAGCCTGGTCTTCACTAAGAATACAAAAATAAGCCAGGCATGATGGTGCATGCCTGTTGTTCCAGCTACTAGGGGGACTGAGGCAGGGAGATCACCTGAGCCTAGGAGGTCAAGGCTGCAGTAAGCCGTGATCATGCCACTGCACTCCAATCTGGACGACAGAGTGAGACTTTGTCTCCAAATAAAATAAAATAAAATAAAATAAAATAAAATAAAATAAACTCAATATTTTTAAAAACTGTAATGTTTCCTTTCAAAGCTAAAATTGTATTATTCTAAATATATTTTAAAGAAGAAATGATTATTGTTCAGTGTCTTTAAAATTGGTTTTTAAAATCTCATTTGTTTTGACATTTCAAACCAAGTTAAGTATTCTTTTTCTCACCCTCCTTGAGACGGAGTCTTCCTCTTTCACCCAGGCTGGAGTGCAGTGGTGCATTCTCGGCTCACTGCAACCTTTGCCTCCCAGGTTCAAGCGATTCTCTTGCCTCAGCCTCCTGACTATCTGGGATTACAGGCGCCTGTCACCACGCCAGGCTAATTTTTTGTATTTTTCGTAGAGACGGGGTTTCATCATGTTGGCCAGGCTGGTCTGGAACTCCTGACCTCGTGATCTGCCCACCTCGGCCTCCCAAAGTGCCAGGAATACAGGCATGAACCACCACACCTGGCCATTAACCATTCTTAACATATCACGTTGCATTCTTTAAAAGTTCTAATCTTTCATGTACATAAATTACAACACAAATATTTGTACTCTAATAGTATTCACATTATAGTAAATTTTTTTTCATGCTCTGTCACCCAGGCTGGAGTGCAGTGGCGCGATCTTGTCTCATTGCAACCTTCGCCTCCCGGGTTCAAGTGATTGTCCTGCCTCAGCCTCCTGAATACCTGGGATTACAGGCGAATGCCACCACTCCCAGCAAATTTTGTGTATTTTTAGTAGAGACGGGGTTTCACCATGTTGGCAAGGCTGGTCTCAAAATCCCGAGGCTGCCTTGGCCTCCCAAAGTGCTGGGATTAGAAGTGTGAGACACCATGCCCGGCCATAATAATAAATTTTATTTTATCTTTTTTTTTTTGAGACGGACTTTTGCTACTGTTGCCCAGGCTGGAGTGCAATGGCTCAGTCTGAGCTCACCGCAACCTCCACCTCCCAGGTTCAAACGATTCTCCCGCCTCAGCCTATCGAGTAGCTGCAATTACAGACGTGCGCCACCACGCCTGGCTAATTTTTTGTATTTTAAGTAGAGAAGGGGTTTCTTCATGTTGCTCAGGCTGGTCTCAAACTCCCAACCTCAGGTGATCCACCTGCCTCAGCCTCCCAAAGTGCTGGAATTACAGGCGTGAGCCACTGCACCTGGCTCATAATAGTACATTTTTAAAAACACCATAAAATATAATCCTTGCAACACTCAATTATACCATCTGGTCGGATCTATCAGCAGATGGCACCCGAGACATACGGATTGGAAATTTTGATCTTATTATGAATGAATCCAGTCCAGAAATGCCCACCCTGCCCCCTGCTGGCTCCTGGGGCTCTGCTCTTTGGGGGAATCATGATGAAATTGTGGCAGAGAGTAGAAGTTGAGCCCCATTGCATGCCCTGAGTTCTTGTTGCCTCTCTATTATCAGGAAAAGGAGGTGAGATTGAAAGATGAAAAATGCTGGGACTTCTGCTGAGAAGAGAAAAAAGAACAAGATGTATTGATCTTACTGTATGCCAGACCCCATGCCAAGCCCTAAACATGAACCATCTCATTGGATCCTACCTAGGTCCCATAAGCTGTTGGACATCATCATCCTCATTTTACAGGAAGCTGAGGCTCTTGGCTAACATCCCTGACAGCAACACCAGCCCCTGAGTACTCAGCAGGATCCTTCACTTGGATGCCCGCTATGCAGGCTTCCTCAGCACAGGGAAGGTCACTCATCACCCACAGGCCCTTGATCGTTATCCACCCTTTGATGCTGTCAGATTCCAGAACACGCTGCACTAGTCTCTTCCTTCATAGGGAGAGAGGGAAGGTGTTATGAGAAAATCTCTCATCAATCTGACCTAGCTCCCCAAAAAGATGTAACTTTTAAAATGTCAGATGGAAATATTTAAAAAGTGTTACATGCCTGTATAGTTTTAGTATTTTACTTAAAGGGAATGTGGCTGTCTTTACTGGCTACAACCAGTTTAATTCAAGAAGGGCTGCTGGTCATCAGGGGAACAAGCAAGGTTTGGTGCTGCCCAGAGTCTCCAGCTAATACACAATATGGACATACCCTTCCAGGGCAGCGAGAAGAGAGTGGGTCCTTGTGCAGTGCAGCTGACATCCACCAACTAAGGCTTCTGGAAGCATGTGGAGACTCACAGGGAGTGGGCAGGGTCTCAGCATCTGGCTAGCAGTGAAAGACCCTGAGAAGAAGGTGCTTTCCGTGTGGATTGGCTCACTGTTCTTGCCCAGTAATGTTCCAGGCCTTTGGTGTCCACCTGGTGTGTATTAACCCACTGAACAGCCACAGAAACTAACAAGGATTTAACAGACATCTAAAGAAGTGAAGAACTGGAGGAGGCCAAGCCAAGCGTGGTGGTCCACGCCTATACTCCCTGCATTTTGGGAGGCCAAGGCAGGAGAATCACAAGCTCAGGAGTTCCAGATCAGCCTGGGGAAGACAGCGAGGCCTTGTTTCTACTAAAAAGAAGTATCCAGGTGTGGTGGCTCACACAGCTGTAGTCCTAGCTACTCAGGAGGCTGAGGTGGGAAGATCGCCTGAACCCAGGAAATTGAGGCTGCAGTGAGGTATGATTGTGCCACTGCACTGTAGCCTGAGTGACAGAAGACCTTTAAAAAACAAAAACAAAAGCAAAAGCCTGACACAGTGGCTCACACCTGTAATCCCAGCATTTTGGTAGGCCTACTTGCATGAATCACCCAAAGTCAGGAGTTTGAGACCAGCCTGACCAACATAGTGAGGAAACCCTGTCTCTACTAAATATACACAAATTAGCTGGGCACGGTGGTGCATGCCAGTAATCCCAGCTACTTGGGAGGCTGAGGCAGGAGAATCATTTAAACCCCAGGTGGAGGTTGCAGTCAGCTGAGATGGCACCATTGCACTCTAAACTCCAGCCTGGGCAACAAGAGTGAAACTCTGTCTCCAATAAAAGAATGGGAGGAAAGTGATTACAATAACCAAATTTCATTTAAATGCCTTGATTTTCTTGGGCTGCATCTTATTGATTGGACAACTCAGTCAGTGCCTTTTGTTTTTTCCATCAATAACTGAAGATTCCTGAGGCTTAAACTGGAAAACAGGTTACTTAATAATAGAGGGCACCAGACAGATTCTGCTCAGTTTTCCTTTATTTCTGATTGTTTCTTTACAACCATCCATGCAAGAGTAACTCTCTCATGTATTCTCAAGCCTGAATTCCACTCTAGACATTCAGATTCCCATTTTCGACTCTACAGGATACACGTTCCCAAAGTCCCATCGAATCCATGGCAACATTTCCCCCAAGTCCTGCCCCTGCTTGATCAGCATTCCTTTCCCACTTTCAGAGCCCATGTGTGAAACGATGGGTTCTGTGCTCCCTTTAGGATGTACCTAAGACCTAGGTTTTAGTTTCCAAGTGTCCAGAAGAAAGCGTTTGACATACCCATCCAAATAGGCAGGCATTCAACAGCAGTATTGATCTGCCTCCAGGTCATAAAATGACCTGTTGCCACAGTCAGGGCAGTAGTCAGTACCGAACAAGATCCTCTTGGGGTGCCTTAAGTCCCTAACTCTCTTCATCAGCTCAGCCCTAATCTGAGTAAATCTGCTCCAGCAGAGAGTACCATCAGCACCATAACTCTCCCGTGGGGCAGGATACAGCTCCAGGCATAAGTTTTTGAGTATGATTGTGTGGCTCAGCAGGTTCTCCAGGGTGGCCATGGAGATGGGATTTCCACAGAAGCTGAAGGTGTTGAGCTCAAAGCAGCGGCTCAGGGCAGGCAGGATGGCGTTGACTTGGGAGTCTATGATGCCACAGTCATCTAAATCCAGGTACTCAAGGGTGGCTGCAACTTTTTCTAGGAGAATTTGGAGAGGCACAAGACTGTAATTGGTCAGTCTGATGCCACTCAGGTCCAGGGTCTTTAGTTGACTGATACTCGGGCACTGGGATAGATGCTTCAAGTCTGATTCCAAAAGCACACAGTTAGTTATTGTGAGGACCTTTAACGAGGTCTTCAGACAGCTGTGGAGAGAGAGCAAGAAGTTAATTCTGGGGAATCATAGGGGTGAGTGGAGGGTGGTGGGGAATGGCTTCAAGGTAATGGATGGAGACCATTTTGCCCAAGTCCAGGATCATTCTCATGGCCGGATGGTCAACACTTCGGATGATGTGTGATGAAGAGCTTTGCCACCGAGGTCAATTCCACTTTAGGCCCGGCCCAGTAACTCACACCTGTAATCCCAGCACTTTGGGAGGCTGAGACTGGTGGATTCCTTGAGATCAGGAGTTTGAGACCAGCCTGCTGAACATGGCAAAACCTCCTCTCTACTAAAAATCCAAAAATTAGCCAGCTGTGGTGGCGGGAGCCTGCAATTCCAGCTACTTGGGAAGCTGAGGCAGAAGAATCGCTTGAACCCAGGAGGTGTAGGTTGCAGTGAGCAGAGATCATGCCACTACACTCCAGCCTGGGTGACAGAGAGAGACTCTGTATTAAAAAAAAAAAAAGGAGAAAAAATAATTCCATTTGAGGCTGAGTCATTTCACCATCATTTATAGGAATGGATCAAGTTCACAGAATCCCTAAAGCTCCCTTTCCTCATCTGTCAGGCAGAAAACCACATCCCTGGGCCACAGAAGCCCAGTGGAGATGCAGGCATAAAGGACAAACCCAGACAGGATCCTGCAACATCAGCTGGGGTGGGCGGGCTGCAGGCGTCCCTGACACGCCTGTATCATCAGCAAACCATCTATCACTTTCACCATTCTTTGTGCCTGCTCCCTGACCCTCTGTTTCAGAATCATACATTTCCTAGGTAATTAATTTACCTGGAGCTCAAAAGAAACTTTTACAACAGGGAATTAGAGATGGGATCATTCATGTTCACGGAACTGTGGGGCACAAAGCTGATTTTCTGACATGTGCAGATTTGCTGAGCATTCCCCTCTTCAGTGACCACTTCACTTCCCTACTTCCCATCATCTTCTTAAAAATTATCTTGTTGGCTGGGCGTGGTAGCTCTCGCCTATAATCCCAGCACTTTGGGAGTCCAAGGTGGGCGGATCACCTGAAGTCAGGAGTTGGAGAATATCCTGGCCAACATGGTGAAACCCTGTCTCTACTTAAAATATAAAAATTAGCCAGGTGTGGTGGCTCACGCCTGTAATCCCAGGCACTGAGGAGGCTGAGGCAGGAGAATCGCTTGAACCTGGGAGGCAGAAGTTGCTGCGAGCTGAGATGTCACAACTGCACTCTAGCCTGGACGATCATAGTGAAAATCCATCTCAGAAAAAAAAAAAGTTATCTTGTTTGTTTTTACTTTTATTTCTTCATTTCTGACAGGGGTCTTGGGATGTTACCCAGACTGGTCTTAAACTCCTAGGCTCAAGCTATCCTCTTGCCTCAGACTCCCAAAGTGCTAGGATTACAGGCATGAGCCACCGTCCCTGACCTATTTTTCATCATCTTAACTTAGACACACGTCCTCAGGAAGAATTCAGAAAGGCACCCTCACTAGATCTGAACCCCCCAGTAGCTAGCTTCCTAGTATGGCAACCTCTCTATAGCATCTCCCCTAGCTGATCCCTCTGCCTCTATTGGGATGGTTGCATGATACCCATTTCAGGACAGGGCCGCCAACAGGACAATGTATGGACATTCTAGTGTCCCCTTCACTGTTTCATCCTCATAGGCTGGCTCACAGTAGATGCCCACTAGCGTTTAGTGAAACAGGCTCTGCTGTGGTCTGCAGAGAAAGCTCACCACCCTCCCTCACCTGAGCAGCTGGTCCAGGTGGCCTTCGAGGAAAGAAACAGAGTTCATATAAAGCTTTTGGAGGCAGTGCAGCTTGAGGAACTGAGTGGTGAACTGGGTAACAATCTCCTTCTTCTGCTCTGGGGAAACGTAGCGAGAGACATCCATGTGGGAGAGAACGAGCTTCTGAAGATTCCTCATGTGGCCCAGGTATGGGGTAAACTGTGTCAGGATGGGCAGTACCCACTTGCAATTCACTTCCACCTCCTGGATACAGTCTAGGTTCACCATTTTCAGGATGCTTCTGATATTGCGGAAGGGCATTCCCAAAATTTTCAGCTTCTTACAGCACAGGTGTAGTAAATCTTTCCTCTGCTTGACCCATAGAAGGAGGCAGGTGAGGTGTTCATCCAGAGTCCTGTTCTTGAGCCAAAGTTCTACGAACACAGTCAAGGGCTGCCGTCCTCTCATCCTTGGACAGTCCTGCACTGGTTTTTTGTTCCTCTTGGCATTGAGGAAGCACCCACGGGCCATAGCTTCAGACCAAACCATCCAGAAGTTCTCACAGACATCCTGTAAATCCAGCACTTGAAGTTTCCACCTCCTGTGGGAAAATAGAGGTGAGACTGAGAATTTCAGAACTCATTTCTGAACTTAAACTCCACATCCTGCATAGCAGCTCCTCCCCTCCCTGCTTCTTGTCCCTGTCTCTGACATTTCTCCACCCTGTTTTCCCCTTGGATCCTGCCCACTTTCACAGTTTTTTTTTTTTTTTTTTTTTTTTTTGAGACCAAGTCTCCTTCTGTCACCCAGGCTGGAGTGCAGTGGTGTGATGTCACCTCACTGCAACCTCTGCTTCCCCGGTTCAAAGGATTCTCCTGCCTCAACCTTGCAAGTAGCTGGGATTACAGGAGCCCAGCACCATGCCCAGCTAATTTTAGTATTTTTAGTAGAGTTGGGGTTTACCATGTTGTACAGGCTGGCCTCCAACTCTTGACCTCAGCCTCCCAATGTGCTGGGAATACATTGTGAGCCACCGTGCCCGGCCCAGTTCTCACTTTTCATGCTGGCTTTCAGTGCCATTAGGGGAGAGGTTCCTGTTACCTCCATGGACCTGGCATGGTCAGCAGTGCTTTCCCTGAGGAGCTGGTGAATGGCCAAGGCCTCTCAGCTTCCTCACCACCACCATCGCCCCTTGGGCCTCCTCACTTCTCATGACCCAGCTGTTCCTTCGGTTGGACACCTGGGCCCTCCCCACCAGCCCACCTGGCCCACCTCACCTGGGACGAACCCCGTGGGTAAGCAGTGCATCAAGCCCATTGAGCACAGCTTGGAAGGTCTCCAGACAAGGCATCTTTATCAGAGGCCTCAGAGGGAGGCGGCGGAAGGGCCAGGCCTGTACCATCAGCTTCAGGGCCTCACAGCGTCTCCTGCTGAAGGCCTCCATGAACAGTGGGGGGAAAAGTTCTGTGGGCAGCTCCTCCAGGGTGGACATGGCCAAGGCTTGGTCCCTCAGCACGCTCCGCCCCGCCAGCTCCAGGAGTCTGGGTGGAGTCCGGATGCTCATCTTCATGAATCTGCAGGGAAAACTTCCAGAGGACAAACCCAGAGAAAAGGCATCACTCTCAGGACAAGCCCATGCAATCTCATCTTCTCCCAGGGCCAAAGTCACTGCTTTGGCAATGGTGAAACAGCCCTCAGTTTACTCCAATTCTACTCAGTACTCAGTGGCCATTAAGCCAGCATTCTGCCTCTGCTGCATCAGCATGAGCGTCTCCGAAGCAGTGAGGAGGCAGGGCCACAACTAGCCCTTCCTTTCTATCCAGTGCTCCATCCAGTGACTAGTGAGTGTGGAGGAAGCTGAAAGCAAACCCCTCCGACCATTGGGGGAAATTACTAATTACTCAAGGTTCTAAAACAATGGGAAAGGGAGTGTCACAAGCCTACATGCCCACAATTTCAGTTCCTACAAATAAGCTTGTTGGGAACATTCATGGGGCATCCCTAGAACAGGTTCTATTTGTTTTCTTTTCTTTATTTAAGGTTTCCTTCTCTTTCTCTCTCTTCTTTCCTTCTTTCCCTCTCTCCCTCCCTTCTTTCTTTCTTCCCCCCTCTCTCTCCCTTCTTTCTTTCTTGTCTTCTTTCCCTGCCTCCCTTCTCTCATTCTCTCTCTCCCTCCCTCTCTCCCTCACTCTTTCTGACAGGGTCTTGCTCTGTTACCCAGCCTGGAGTGCAGTGGTGGGATCTTGGCTCACTGCAGCCTTGACTTCCCAGCCTCCCAAGCCTCCTCAGCCTCCCAAGTAGCTGGGACCACAGTTATGCATCACCACACCCAGCTCATCTTTTATGTTTTGACTTTTTGTAAAGACAGTGGATTTCACTATGTTGTCCAAGCTGGTCTTGAACTCCTAGTCTCAAGCAATCCACCCCCCTTGGCCTCCCAAAGTACCGGGATTATAGTTGTGAGCCTCCACTCCAGCCTTATTATCGAATATTTCAGTGAGAAGCTTTGAAAGCTATGTGACACTGTTATGCATCATTCGCAAGATAGATGATTCCAATACACACCTCTCGCACATATTCAAAATCAACCACTTTGGCTGGGTGCAGTGACTCACCCGTAATCTGAGCATTTTGTGAGGCCAAGGCAGGTGGATCATCTGAGATCAGGAGTTCAAGACGAGCCTGGCCAACATGGTAAAACCCTACCTCTACTAAGCCAGCAAAAATTAGCCAGGTGCAGTGGTCTGCGCCTGTAGTCCAAGCTACTAGGGAGGCTGAGGCAGGAGGATCACTTGAACCCAGGAGGCAGAAGTTGCGGTGAGCTGACATTATACCACTCCACTCCAGCCTGGGAAATAGGCTAGATTCAAAAGAGAGAGAGAGCTACATTTGATTAGACTTCTTAATCTCTACCCAGTTAATCCTGATTGGATTTTTGGCTTTCTTCCAGATTAACTGATTGAATTAGATATTCATCCATCAAAATGAAAGATTTAGGGATAGGGTGAAAGTCCAAGACTCATTCACTGATTCACTCCACAAACGTGGAGTTTTACTAATATGTGTCCTTCACAGTCCTGAGTGTGAGACAGGGAAGGGTTGAATCTCTTCCTGATATTAGACAGAAAGAAAGAAAACTTGAAAGTATCTGTAGAGGGATCCTTGGTCACATCAAATTTCTCAAAATATTTCAGAGTTAAAACAGTTTTACAAAGACAGAGATGACAGTTCCTAAGAAAACACAATAGTAATCTTCATATATCCAGTGATTACCTGGGTGGCATAATTCTTCTTGGTGTTGAGGGAGCTGAGTCTCACTTCGTTGCCCAGGCTGGAGTGCAGTGGTGCCATCTCGGCTCACTGTTACCTCAGCCTCCAAGATTCAAGCAATTCTCATGCTTCAGTCTTCCACGTAGCTGGGATTACAGGCATGCACCCCCACACTCATGTCTCCATTTGGGTGGAAGAGGATGTGATTGCTTTAAAATTAAGGTCAAAGATCCTTTTTTGTTAAGATGTTGCTTTTGTTTTTTGGACAGGGTCTCTCTCTTTTGCCCAGGCTGGAGTACAGCAGTGGTGTGAGCATGGCTCACTGCATCCTCAATCTTCTGGGCTAAAGTGATTCTCCCACACCAGCCACCCAAATAGCTGGGGCTACAGATGCATGCCACCATGCCCAGCTAATTAAAAAAAAAAAAAAAGTAGAGGCCGAGCACCAGTGGCTCATGGCTCTAATCCCAGCATTTTGGGAGGCCAAGGCAGGTGGATCACTTGAGGTCAGGCGTTTGAGACCAAACTGGCCAGCATGGTGAAACCCCCGCCCCTACTAAAAATACAAAAATTAGCCAGGCATGGTTTCAGATGACTGTTATACCAGCTTCTCTGTATGGAGACTGATGCATGAGAATTGCTTGAACCTGGGAGGTAAAGGTTACAGTGAGTTGAGATCGTGCCACTGCACTCCAGTCTGGGCAACACAGCGAGACTCCATCCCCATCCTCAAAAAAAAAAAAACGTTGTGTAGAGGAGGGTTTTTGTCATGTTGCCCAGGTTGGTATCAAACCCCTGGGCTGAAATGATCCTCCCACTTTGGCCTCCCAAAGTGTTGGGGTTAAAGGCATGAGTCACTGCTCCCTTCAAGAATTTTGAAATGACCTAAACCAAAGCACAATCAACTTTTTTGAAATAAAGACAGAACTGTATTTAGAGGAAAACATTCAAAGCTTCAAATTGTTCACATGAAAAAAAAAAAGGACAGGATATAGCTCTGTGCCATCGTAGGCTGCACTGTCACCATCCCAGACCAGCTGACTGTAGGTCAGATGGGAGTGTCCTTACAGAAATTAATGACTTACCAGATCTGGATGTAGTTTAGAAGGTGCTCAGACCTCAGGAAGAACCAGGCAGGAACTCCAGGCTTGAAGACTTTGGGTCTCTCCTGTGGGTCTTTAGAAGCTTTTATTGACGTTTCTAGTCACAACTCCCACCCACGCCCCTCCACGTATCCGCTGCTAGCTTCCAATCAAAAAGTGATATCTGATTGCATTTCTGAAGCTCCAGCCAGTTAATCCTGATTGGGTTTTTGGCTCTCCCCAGATTAATGGATTGAATCAGATGTCCATTCATATCACATATCTATATTCACTTCATGAAGCAAGAAATTGACAGTGTTAGGGATAGGGTAGAAGTCAAGAATACATTCATTCAAGGCCAGGTGAGGTGGCTCACTCCTGTAATCCCAGCACTTTGGGAGGCAGAGGCAGGTGGATTATCTGAGGTCAGGAGTTTGAGAAAAGCCTGGCCGACATGGTAAAACCCTACCTCTACCAAAATTACAAAAATTAGCCAGGTGCGGTGGTCTGTGCCTATAGTCCAAGCTACCAGGGAGGTTGAGGCAGGAGGATCGCTTGAACCCAGGAGGCAGAGGTTGCAGTGAATTGACAATACACCACTGCACTCCAGCCTGGGAAATAGGCAAGATTCAAAAAAAAAAAAAAAAAAAAAAGAAAAAAGAGAGAGAGAGAACTACATTTGTACATTTGATTTGACTTCTTAAACTCTACCCAGTTAATCCTGATTGGATTTTTGGCTTTCTTCCAGATTTACTGATTGAGTTAGATATTCATCCATCGAAGTGAAAGAATTAGGGATAGGGTGAAAGTCCAGGACTCATTCAGTGATTCACTCCATAAACATGGAGTTTTACTAATATGTGTCCTTCAAAGTCCTGAGTGTGAGAGAGGGAAGGGTTGAATCTCTTCCTGACATTAGAGAAAAGAAAAAACTTGAAAGTACCTTTGTTGAGGGATCCTTGGCCACATCAAATTTATCGAAATATTTCAGAGTTAAAACGTTTTACAAAGACAGAGATGACAGTCCCCAAGAAAACACAATAGAAATCTTCATGTATCCAGTGATCACCTGGGTGGTATAATCTAATTTTTTTGGTGTGGGGGAAGCTGAGTCTAACTTTTTGCCCCATGCTGGAGTGCAGCGGCGCCATCTCAGCTCATTGTAACCTCCGCCTCTGAGATTCAAGCAATTCTCATGCTTCAGGCTTCCACGTAGCTGGGATTACAGGCATGCACCCCACACCCATGTCTCCATTCAGGTGGAAGAATTACCGAGAGGATGTGATTGGTTTAAAATTAAGGTCGAAGATCCTTTTTTGTTAAGATTTTGTTTTTGTTTTTTGGACAGGGTCTCTCTCTTTTGCCCAGGCTGGAGTACAGCAGTGGTGTGAGCATGGCTCACTGCAGCCTCAATCTTCTGGGCTAAAGTGATTCTCCCACACCAGTCACCCAAATAGCTGGGACTACAGATGCATGCCACCATGCCCGGCTAATTAAAAAAAAAAAAAGTAGAGGCCGAGCACCAGTGGCTCACGGCTCTAATCCCAGCAGTTTGGGAGGCCAAGGCAGGTGGATCACTTGAGGTCAGGTGTTGGAGACCAACCTGGCCAGCACGGTGAAACACCCGCTCTACTAAAAATGCAAAAATTAGCCAGGCATGGTGGCAGATGGCTGACACCAGCTTCTGAGGATGGAGACTGAGGCATGAGAATTGCTTGAACCTGGAAGGTAAAGGTTGCAGTGAGTTGAGATCGTGCCACTGCACTCCAGTCTGGGCAACACAGTGAGACTCCATCCCCGTCCTCACAAAAAAAATAACGTTGTGTAGAGGAGGGTTTCTGCCATGTTGCCCAGGTTGGTCTCAAACCCCTGGGCTGAAATGATCCTCCCACTTTGGCCTCCCAAAGTGTTGGGGTTAAAGGCATGAGTCACTGCTCCCTTCAAGAATTTTGAAACGACATCAACCAAAGAACGATCAACTTTTTTGAAATAAAGACAGAACTGTATTTAGAGGAAAACATTCAAGCTTTAAATTGTTCATATAAAAAAAAAAAAGACAGGATACACTTCTGTGCCATCGTAGGCTGCAGTGTCAACATCCCAGACCAGCTGACTGTAGGTCAGATGGGAGTGTCCTTACAGAAATTAGTGACTTACCAGATCTGGATGTAGTCTAGAAGGTGCTCAGACCTCAGGAAGAACCAGGCAGGTACTCCAGACTTGAAGACTTTGGGTCTCTCCTGTGGGTCTTTAGAAGCTTTTATTGACCTTTCTAATCACAACTCCCACCCACGCCCCTCCACGTATCCGCTGCTAGCTTCCAATCAAAAAGTGATATCTGATTGCATTTCTGAAGCTCCAGCCAGTTAATCCTGATTGGGTTTTTGGCTCTCCCCAGATTAATGGATTGCATCAGATGTCCATTCATATCACATATCTATATTCAGTTCATGAAGCAAGAAATTGTCAGTGTTAGGGATAGGGTAGAAGTCAAGAATACATTCATTCAAGGCCAGGTGAGGTGGCTCATACCTGTAATCCCAGCACTTTGGAAGGACAAGGTGAGTAGATCACCTGATGTCAGGGGTTCAAGACCAGCCAGGACAAAAAGGTGAAACCCTGTCTCTACAAAAATACAAAAATACAAAAATTAGCCCGGCATGATGGCAGGTGCCTGAAACACAGCGACTCAGGAGGCTGAGGCAGGAGAATTGCTTGAACCCAGGAGGCAATGGTTGCAGTGAGCCAAAATTGTGCCACTGCACTCCAGTCTGGGTGACAGAGGGAGATTCTGTCAAAAAATAAAAAAATTAATTCATTCATGAACTCCACAAACACTGATGGAACTTTACTAATATGTGAACTTCATAGTCTTGAGTGTGAGGCAGGGAAGGATTTGATCTGTTAACGACATTAGACAGAAAAATAAAATCTGAAAGCAGTGTTGTTAGGAGATCTTTGGCCACATCAAAATATAAAAATGCTTTATACTTTAAAAAGCTTTATAAAAACAGAGGAGTCATCCCTACAAAATCAGAATAAAAATCTCAATTTATCGAATGGTCTTGGGGATTTTATATAACCTAAGGTAGCAGATTATATGCTCGTTCTGGTGGAGGAGAGGTGCCACTGAGGGCGTGAGTGGTCTCAGGGCTTAGGTTAAGGCTTCTTTGGAAGAAATTGAAACCACAACTATAAACTTCATCAATTTAATCAGTGAAGAAGGGAGGGGGAGAAACAAAAATAAACCAAGCTTGCAACACATTCAGCATTCATCAGGAGGTCAGCTTGCTCTCTGACCTGGTTCCTTATGGTTGCTGGCAGCCTACTGTTCCAAAATCATATAGACCTTAGATTACAGTTCCCCTTAACTTCCCTGCAGACAACAATTTAAGCATTGTGAAACATTAACTTTTTTCATTTGACATATTCTTTCAGATTCTGCATGTCAGTGAAACTACTGATGCCAGCTCATCTAAATGGGCCCTGCAAGGCACTAACGCAAAGAATGCAGTTTCTAGATCCTGTTGACTTCTTCCCTCTTACCGCTACCCCAACTTTCCAGTCCCTTGCTATCCAGGATCCACTGGAAATGCTCAGTACTCCTTGGGGTGATGAATTTGAGGATCTCCTCCTAACTTCTCATTCAGCCACCCTGTGATCATTAAACTCTCTGCTGCAAACCCTGCTGTCTCACAATATTGCTAAGCTACTGTGCAGCAGGCATAGGAACCTGATGGTCCTGTAATAAAGTCATGTCAAAATTACAAATGGAAGTGAGGGTGGAGCTGGTCAGGGTTGAGCTGGGTTTTTAATGGGAACCTGGGAGTGAACCAAGACTTGCTGAACATGTTGGGGGTTATTGAGTGGGTGGAGGATGAATCTATCCAACATTGCATGGATGCCCCTTTGGTTTTGATCCTTATGACCAAGTATGAGTCTTTCAAAACAATTTATATAATCCTCCTTATATTTCCTTTCAAAACCTTCAACTTCCTTTATCTCCCCGAATAATCTCACATCTATTCCCATTTCTTTGCTTACTTCATAATACATTTTTTTTTTTTTTTTACAGAGTCCTCTTCTCTGTTAAGTAGACCATATATTTTGTTGCCACACAAGATGAGTAACCTGGTTCTATGGACAGAAAGGGTCAAAAGGATCCCATTCCTCAACAGCTGGGGGTGATGTAAAGGCCATGGTTATTCCTTGTCATATCTGCACCTGCATATTGCCAGTGAAAACTTGCAGGGCACATTGGGCAGGCTTCCAAATTAACCACCTGTGGGAAGGTCTTTCGATTGGCTTACATCCTGTCCCTGAGCAAAGTGTCTGATCATGAGTTCATGAGTGCCTCAAACCCCACAACTACTGATGAAGGCTTCACCCACTGACAGTGAGAAGGACGCTGATTTGATTCTGATCATGAAGTTTTGCTGGTTGTCTTGCAAGGAATACGTTTTATCCTGTTATGTTGTCATCTAAAGCCAATGATTGTAACCTCTGTCTTGTCCCGTCCAATGGAAAAAAACAAAAACAAAAACTCAATTCTATTTGAGCCTTGCCAGGTCAATAAGACAAAAGAAAATTTAAAAACAAACTGATAGGAGGAGTCCCATTCCCTTCTTTTAACCTTTCTTACAAAAGCATTCCAACTTGTAACAGACTTTGGAAAACACCCACTTTGTCAGTGTGTGTCTTCCAGGTCAATCCTCACATTTAGCTTCCAGTGAAGCTTTCGTTAATTATTTCTACCTCAACAGCCTTATCTTCTATTGACACAAGGTTGTATGGTAATGGTTTGAATTGGGGTGGGAAGAAAAAATATTTCTATGTCTTTTATAAAGTAATCCTTGCATGTCATCTCCATAGAAGAATGAGTAGGTTCCTCTCCAAATATGTCCTGAGTATTGATGCACCCAATAAACAAAACTAATATTTATTTCATATACTAGAGCTATAGATGCATTCTATTTCCCTCTAGAATCTCCAATGAACCAATATCTAGTTTCAGTAAGTTTCTCTGATTATATGGCAGAGGGTAACATGGTCATGTTCTGATTCTGTGTCTATGTCGATAACTATAGCGTTCCAGCCTTCATAATATGCGTCAAACCAGAGTTTATTCTAGTGTGAGTCTGGCACACCATCTAGATTAGACCCAGTTACACTAATGTTTTCTATGCATAGAGATAAGTTACCAGTAATGAAATCAATAATAGTCATAGACCACTCATTTGCACCTATAGCTTCTTCTCAATGCCAAGTCATTTAATTATCAATATTAACCAACCTACCAAAGGAAGGATAACAAATCTTATCATGAACTTAGCATCCTCAATTGCTACCCAACTGTGTACGAAAGCAGGTTGTAGTATTAAGTGTGATCCTTCCCTTTCATCTAAATGACTCCATAGCCAGCAATTGCTTTGGTTAGTGAGAGTGGCTACATTTTGAACAGAAGATCTTAGAAAGTGTTTGGTTTGAGTGGTGAAAGTACCTAACAACATAAAATATAGGTTTGATAATTTTGTGTTAATACAAAACAAAACCAAGTCTCAGTCAATGGAAGAAGATCAAATGGAGTCTTGTTCCATTGTCTTGGAAAAGCTGTCTACCAGGTGATGATGTGTGCTTCTAGGGAAGGCTTTTCCTCAGATATCCTTAAGTTTAAGTCATCTGGTACAGTCCCATCCAATGCTGTTCATGGGCAGATTGCCCTTGGTGTCATTTCTAAAGGATGCAATCTCCAAATGCTAGGGCATGAAGGTCTAAGCATCACTGAAAGCCTCCTTCACCTAGTGGAAATAGTCTTTCAAATACTGCATCAAGGTCTTGCAGTATTGATTCATATTGTTACTGAACGATGGGCTCACTCTTCTAAGTGCATAGAACCCAATACTATGACACCATGCTTGAGAAAAGTAAAAAAGATTCAACCAGGCATGGTGGCTCACGCCTATAATCCCAGCACTTTAGGAGGCTGAGGCAGGCAGATCCCAAGGTCAGAGGTTTGAGACCAACCTGGCCAACATGGAGAAACCCCCTTTCTGCTAAAAATACAAAAGTTAGCTCAGTGTGGTGACATGTGCCTGTAATCCCAGCTACTCAGGAGGCTGAGGCAGGAGAACCACTTGAACCCAGGATGCAGAAGTTGCAGTGAGCCAAGGTAGCACCATTGTACTCCAGCCTGGGCAACAGAGACTCTGTCTCTAAACAAAAAATAAAAAGAATGCAGTCTCCTTTATTGGTTCAGCTAATTTTAGTTTCAAGATACAGTTTGTTCACTCAACCTTTGTAGAATACGAAGGATAATGAAGTTAATATTAGTGCCATTGGATCAGTAAAATCTTACCTGTGTGATAACCTGCCCAGTAACTGAGTTCTCCTCCCATTGGAGATTTCTCCAGAGATGCTCCAGAAAGGAAGCAAATTTTATAATCATTTTTTTGACTATGACTGTGGCATCAGCCTTTCTAAAAAGGTAATCTACAACCCATCCTGAAAACGGACACACAATCGCAAGAATTGTAGCCTTTTTACATGGCTCACTGACATCATTGGTCCACGACAACCCCGTTTCTTGCAGCTATATGTGTGTATGTCTACCTATTCATATCTGTATCTATTTCCATTTATTACCATGATTCACTTCCACTCTCCTTTCCATAGACAGCCACTCTACTCTTTGACCTAGCCTTGAATTTGCTTGTGACCTCATGGAACATAAGTATATGGAAAGCATATAGACTATATACTTGCATTTTGTATGTGTATTTATTTAAATCCACATATATGTTATAGCGTATGGTGCTACAGAAGAGGACCTCACAATTAATTGTCCAGTCCCAGACACTTTGGAGAGAATAGACATGCTGTTATAATAATTATTATTATTTTTGGAGATAGTGTCTGGCTCTGTGGCCAGGCTGGAGTGCAATGGCATGATCTCGGCTCACTGCAACCTCTACCTCTTGGGTTCAAGTGCCTCTCCTGCCTCGGCCTCCTGAGTACCTGGGATTACAGGTGCCCGCCACCACGCCTGGCTCTTTTTTGTATTTTTAGTAGGAATGGAGTTTCTCCATGTTGGCCAGGCTTGTCTTGAACTCCTGACCTCAGCTGATCCACCCGCCTCAGCCTCCCAAAGTGCTGGGAATACAGGCCTGAGCCACTGCACTCGGCCTCTCATGTGCCTTTTTAAATTGATGGGAAAATGACACCCAGGATAATTTATGGCCATTGTGGGAATTATTGGAAATCTTTAAGACTGTTTTTCTTACAAAACCACAATTGTAGGATTAAACAGTCTGAATGGGATGCTAGCACATAGAGCCTTCTAAACTCTCTTTCTCTTCTTTTTTTGGGGAATTTGGGATCTGCCTACTGATTACAATTAATTGGTTTTCTTAAAAAACTGTTTGGTTAAGATTTTTTTTTTTGACAAGGTCTCACTCTGTTGCCCAGGCTGGAGTACAGCAGTGGTGTGAACATGGCTCACTGCAGCCTCAATCTTCTGAGCTCAAGGGATTCTCCCACCTCAGCCACCCAAGTAGCTGGGACTACAGATCCATGCCACCATGCCCGGCTAATTTTTTAAAAAAGAAGCAGGGCGTTGGTGGCTCACTGGTGTAATCCCAGCACATTGGGAGGCCAAGGCAGGTGGATCACTTGAGGTTAGGAGTTCAAGACCAGCCTGGCCAACATGGTGAAACCCTGTTTCTACCAAAAATATAAAAATTAGCCAGGCATGGTGGCGGGTGGCTATAATCGCAGCTACTCAGGAGGCTGAGGCATGAGAATCGCTTGAGCCTGGGAGGCAGAGGTTTGAGTGAGTTGAGATCATGCCACTGCACTCCAGCCTGGGTAACAGAGCCAGATACCATCCCCACCCCTCAAAACAAATGTTTTGTAGAGATAGGGTTTTGCCATGTTGCCCAGGTTGGTCTCGAGCCCCTGGGCTCAAATGATCCTCCTGCCTTGGCCTCCCAAAGTGTTGGAATTGTAGGCATGAGTCACTGCTCCCACCAAGAATTTTTTTCTTTAAATTCCTGGTTTAATAAGGACTTGTTTATTTTGAGGAAAAAAGGTCCCAAACATGGAGCTGTTCACAAAAATAACCCACAGTATCAACTTTAGAAAACACATTTTAAGAGTATAACACTAATTATTTTTCTGAGGATGCATTTGACATGCCAACTCTCATTCACAAAAATACATTGTTAGATTTTTGTTGAACTGCCCCACACAGCACACTGACATGGGGTGTAACACACATACTTCTAACTCCAAGCTGCTTTCAGGAGCTACTCAACTCAATGAGATTGCCTTTGCAGTTAGGGAAGCAACTATTGAACTTATGTATAAATGAAAAGAACTGTATTCCCTGCATAACAAGAGATTATTTTGGAGACAGTTGATAAAAACCATACATCCTTTTTACTGTTAAGTCATAAGGAGGTATCTAAATTAAAAGCAAAAATTGCAGGGTAAGACTTAAGAAAACTTCTAGGAGCATCAAGGGAAGTGAAAATGGAACTAGGTGCAGGGCAATATGAATTAATGAATGTGGGAAGGACAAGGATGGGGAGAACAGTAAGCATGTGCTGAAGATGCTAAGGGAGAGGATCTGGTGAAAAATTTGATGTTAGACAAGCACCTAGGTAAAGAAACAATGGGATAAGATTTCTCAACCCCACTATGTGCTTAAGAGTCATCCTGGCCATTCGCCCTGTCTCTGTCATCCTCTCCTTCCTCAACCCCTTTTTCATCATCCTTGATCAACTCCAGCTGGTTGTCCCCCTGATCTTCATTATCATCATCACACAGTAGGTCCCCCTCCTCAACAGAGTCATCTGCACCCCCCTCAGACTCCATCTTCACGTGAGTCTTATCCTTCTTCGAGGAGCTGCTGGTCTGCTCCTCTTCAGACTTAGCATTCTTTACCTCTACTCCTTGCTTGCAATGTTCCTTTTCAATTTTTTCCAGGTTTTCCAGGAGAGAATCCACTTTCTGTTTTATCTGGGTCAACTCCTGCTTAATGGCCTGAAGGTCATCTCCTTTCAGCTTTCCAGACTTGGAAGATCCCCGCTTTCCACTCTTAGAATTGAAGCCACTTTTGCCCCTTCGTGAGGTGTTTCCTGATATGCGCTGGCGTTTCGAGGGCACTACAGCCAGAGCAATGGGAGGAGGAGGAGGTACACGTGCTGGGAAACTGTACATCCCACCATAATAATCCCGTTGCAAGTTATAGTCCAAGTCAAAAGAGGAGCCGTACATCTCTGCTGCTGATCGTTTCACACCTGCGTTTCCTCGGTTCACTTTTGGCTCTGCAGCCAGGTTAATATCTACAACCTGGCTAGCAATCATTCTGCCATCCTCTCCTGCTACAGCAGCCCGGGCATTTTTCTCCTTATCATATTGAACGAAGGCAAAGCCCTTATGAACAGAGCAGCCCGCAATTTTGCCATACTTGGAAAAGATCGCCTCCACATCCGATTTCTTGACAACAAGAGTGTTGAGATTCCCAATGAACACACGGGAGTTCATGGAGTGAGGATCCATCTTGTTGGTAACGTTGCTGGCCATTGTGTTGGATGATAAGGTTTCTCAAAAAGCCAAAAACAGGAGGCGGGAGGGAGAAGAGATTCGATTCTAAGTCTCCTACTGCCGGGTTCTACGTGGAGAAGCTGACTGCGGCTCGAGGCCAGAAATGCAGCCAAACCAGCTCAGTCTTCGTCTCTTCACAAAATGGCTCCCAACAAGAATTCTGAAATGACGTAAAGAAAAGCACAATCAACATTTTTGAAATAAAGACAAAACTGCATTTAGAAAAAAAAATCAAAGCTTCAAAGTGTTCATATGAAAAAAAGAAAAAAAAGACAGGATATAGCTCTGCTCTGTCGTAGGCTGCACTGTCACCATGCTACATCGGCTGACTGTAGGTCCCATGGGAGTGTCCTTACAGAAATTAGTGACTTACCAGATCTGGGCTCAGTTTGCAGGGTGTTCAGACCTCAGGAAGAACCAAGCAGGAACTCCAGGCTTGAAGACTTTGGGTCTCTCCTGTGGGTCTTTAGAAGCTTTTATTGACCTTTCTAATCACAACTCCCACCCACGCCCTTCCACGTATGCACTGCTAGCTTCCAATCAAAAAGCAATATCTCATTGCATTTCTGAAGTTCCACCCAGCTAATCCTGATTGGGTTTTTGGCTTTCCCCAGATTAATGGATTGAACCAAATATCCATTCATATCACATACCCATATTCATTTCATGAATCAAGAAATTGACAGCATTAGGGATAGAGTGGAAATCAAGAATTCATTCATTTAAGGCCAGCTGAGTTGGCTCATGCCTGTAATCCCAGCACTTTGGGAGGCCAAGACAGGCGGATCACCTGAGGTCAGGAGTTCAAGACAAGCTTGGCCAATATGGTGAAACCCTGTCTCTACAAAAATACAAAATTAGCCGGGCATGATGGCGGCTGCCTGTAATCCGGATACTTGGGAGGCTGAGGTGGGAGAATTGCTTGAACCCAGGAGGCTGAGGTTGCAGTGAACCGAGATTGCACACTGCCCTCCAGACTGGGTGACAGAGGGAGACTCTGTCAACAACAACAACAACAACAACAACAACAACAACAGAATGCCTTCATTCACGAACTCCACAAGCACTGATGGAATTTTACTGATATGTCACCTTCATAGCCCTGGGTGTGAGGCAGGGAAGGGGTTGATCTGTTCTGGACATTAGACAGAAAAATAAAACCTGAGAATAGTGTTGTTGGGAGATCTTTGGCCACATCAATATTTTAAAAATGCTTTATAGTTAAAATAGCTTCCTGACCTTCCTTAACCTGAACTGCTTGGTTCCCTAGAAGCAGAAATTGATCATATTAGAACCCAAACTCATACCAACCTTGACCTTCATGAAGTACTCAAGTGTTTCTGCTCTTCTTCCTCATGTGATGTAGAAAGTATTAAAAGTGATGAGTTTAGGCCAGGCACTAACTGGTTCACGCCTGTAATCTCAGCACTTTCAGAGGCCGAGGTGGGTGCATCACCTGTGGTCAGCAGTTCCAGACCAGCCTGGGCAACATGGTGAAACTCTCTCTCTACTAAAAATACAAAAACTAGTTGTGTGTGGTGGCCTGTGCCTGTAATTCCAGCTAACTGGAAGACTGAGGCAGGAGAATCACTTGAACCGGGAGGCAGAGGTTGCAGTGAGGCGAGATCGCACCATTGCACTCCAGCCTGGAAAGCAAGAGTGAAACTCCATCTCAAAAAAAAATTAATAAATAAATATATTATAAATAAATAAATTAATTAATGCTTTAAAGAAAAAAGAAATAAACTTTGCCTACAAATTTCATATGCAATTGAATACCTCTTAAATTTTGATGTGAACCGACCAGGCATGGTGGCTGAGGCCTGTAATCCCAGCACTTTGGGAGGCCGAGGCGGGCAGACCACGAAGTCAGGAGATTGAGACCATCCTAGTTAACATGGTGAAACCCCGTCTTTACTAAAAATACAAAAAATTAGCCAGGTGTAGTGGCATGCACCTGTAGTCCCGGCTATTTAGGAGGCTAAGGCAGGAAAATTGCTTGAACTGGGGAGGCAGAGGTCGAAGTGAGCTGAGATCGTGCCACTGCATTCCAGCCTGGTGACGGAGCGAGACTCCATCTCAAAAAATAAATGAATAAAATAAATAAATCAATAAAAATATTGTGACAGGAACCAACATTGCTCAACTTGTACACTAATGTCTTACAAAATCCTTTCCTTGTCACCTTCAAATCTCCATTTCAAATGCTACACTCTGCATAACTCTACCACTTTGTTGCCATTTTCTGATGATGGAGAAGACCATACGTGTGTGTGTGTGGCATCAGAACTATTGACTCCTCCTATTGACGTTTAAGATATTCCATTACACAAACCTGGGCTCATACTTTTTGTTGTTAGATCTTATGCCAAAAATGTAGGCAAAAAATGCCAAGCAGGAAATGCTATCACTTCTGAAGATGAATTCATAGAGATGGAAATTCTTTCAGAATTTATTTTTCCAGCTTTTTTCTTTGTTTGTTTGTTCGTTTGTGTTTGTTTGTTTTGAGACGGAGTCTCGCTCTGTCACCAAGTTGGAGTGCAGTGGTGAAATCTTGGCTGACTGCAACCTCCTCCTCCTGAGTTCAAGCGACTCTCATGCCTCAGTCTCTCGAGTAGCTAGGACTATGGGTGGGCGCCACCATGCTCAGCTAATTTTTGTATTTTTAGCAGAGACAGGGTTTCACCATGTCGGCTAGGATGGTCTCAATTTTTTGGCATCGTGATCTACCTGCCTTGGCCTCCTGAAGTGCTGGGATTAGAGGTGTGAGCCACCACCGTGCCCGGCCTTTTTTTTTTTTTTTCCTTTTGAGATGGAGTCTCACTCTATTGCCCAGGCTGGGAATGGGACTCCTCCTATCAATTATTTTTTTAAATTTTCTTTTGTTTTATAGACCTGACAAGGCTCAAATAGAGTTGACTTTTTGTTTTTGTTTTTTCCATTGGAAGGGACAAACAGAGGTTACAATCATTGGCTTTAGATGACAAGATAAAAGAATAAAACATATTCCTTGCAAGACAACCAGCAGAACTTCATGATCACCATCAAATCAGTGCCTTCTCACTGTCAGTGGGTGGAAGCCTTCATCAATACTTGTAGAGTTTGAAGCACTCATGAACTCATGATCAGACTCTTTACTCAGGGACAGGATGTAAGCCAAGCGAAAGACCTTCCATAGGTGGTGAATTTGGAAGCCTGCCCAATGTGACCTGCAAGTCTTGCTTCACTCCCAGGTTCCCATTAAAAACCCAGCTCAACCCTGACCAGCTCCACCCTCACTTCCATTTGTAATTTTGACATGACTTTATTAAAGGACCATCAGGTTCCTATGCCTGCTGCACAGTAGTTTAGCAATATTCTGAGACAGCAGGGTTTGCAGCAGAGAGTTTAATGATCACAAGGTGGCTGAATGAGAAGCTAGGAGGAGATCCTCAAATTCATCTCCCCAAGGAGTACTGAAGGTTTCCAGTGGATCCTGGATAGCAAGGGGCCAGAAAGTTGGGGTAGCGGTAAGAGGGAAGAAGTCAACAGGATGTAGAAACTGCATTCTTTGGTGAGTTGGTGCATTGCATGGCCCTTCAGATCAGCTGGCATCAGCAGTTTCACTGACATGCAGAACCTGAAAGAATATCTCAGATGAAAAAGTTAATGTTTTACAATGCTTAAATGGTTGTCTGCAGGGAAGTTAAGGGGAACTGTAATCTAAGGTCTATATGATTTTGGAACAGTAGGTTGCGGCAACCATGAGGAACCAGGTCAGAGAGCAAGAAGACCTCCTGATGAATGCTGAATGTGTTGCAAGCTTGGTTTATTTTTGTTTCTCTCCCTCCCTTCTTCACTGATTAAATTTATAAATTTTAGAGATGTGGTTTCAATTTCTTCCAAAGAAGCCTTAACCTAAGCCCTGAGACCACTCACGCCCTCAGTGGCACCTCTCCTCCACCAGAACGAGCATGTAATCTGCTACCTTAGGTTATACAAAATCCCAAAGACCATTCAGTACATTGAGATTTTTATTCTGATTTCGTAGGGACGACTCCTCTGTTTTTAAAAAGTTTTAAAGTAGAAAGCATTTTTATATTTTGATGTGGCCAAAGATCTCCTAACAACACTACTTTCAGATTTTATTTTTCTGTCTAATGTCGTAAACAGATCAAATCCTTCCCTGCCTCACACTCAAGACTATGAAGTTCACATATTAATAAAAAAAAATCAGTGTTTGTGGAGTTCATGAATGAATGATTTTTTTATTTTTTGACAGAATCTCCCTCTGTCACCCAGACTGGAGTGCAGTGGCACAATTCTGGCTCACTGCAACCATTGCCTCCTGGGTTCAAGCAATTCTCCTGCCTCAGCCTCCTGAGTCGCTGTGTTTCAGGCACCTGCCATCATGCCGGGCTAATTTTTGTATTTTTGTATTTTTGTGGAGACGGGGTTTCACCTTTTTGACCTGACTGGTCTTGAACCCCTGACATCAGGTGATCTACTCACCTTGTCCTTCCAAAGTGCTGGAATTACAGGTATGAGCCACCTTGCCCACCAGTGAATCAATGTATTCTTGACTTCTACCTTATCCCTAACACTGTCAATTTCTTGCTTCACGAACTGAATATAGATATGTGATATGAATGGATATCTGACTCAATCCATTAATCTGGGGAGAGCCAAAAACCCAATCAGGATTAACTGGGTGGAGCTTCAGAAATGCAATCAGATATGGCTTTTTGATTGGAAGCTAGCAGTGCACACGTGGAAGGGCGTGGGTGGGAGTTGTGATTAGAAAGGTCAATAAAAGCTTCTAAAGACCCACAGGAGAGACCCAAAGTCTTCAAGCCTGGAGTTCCTGCCTGGTTCTTCCTGAGGTCTGAGCACCTTCTAAACTACATCCAGATCTGGTAAGTCACTAATTTCTGTAAGGACACTCCCATCTGACCTAGAGTCAGTCAGTCTGGGATGGTGACAGTGCAGCCTACGATGGCACAGAGCTATATCCTGTCCTTTTTTATATATATATATGAACAATTTGAAGCTTTGAATTTTTTCCTCTAAATGCAGTTCTGTCTTTATTTCAAAAAAGTTGATTGTGCTTTGGTTGATGCCATTTTAAAATTCTTGAAGGGAGCAGTGACTCACGCCTTTAACCCCAACACTTTGGGAGGCCAAAGTGGGAGGATCATTTCAGCCCAGGGGTTTGAGACCAACCTGGGCAACATGACAAAAACCCTCCTCTACACAACGTTTTTTTTGAGGGTGGAGATGGAGTCTCACTGTGTTGCCCAGACTGGAGTGCAGTGGCACGATCTCAACTCCCTGCAACCTTTAACTCCTGGGTTCAAGCAATTCTCATGCCTCAGTCTCCATCCTCAGAAGCTGGTGTCACAGACATCTGAAACCATGCCTGGCTAATTTTTGTATTTTTAGTAGAGGTGGGGTTTCACCACGCTGGCCAGGTTGGTCTCGAACACCTGACCTCAAGTGATCCACCTGCCTTGGCCTCCCAAAGTGCTGGGATTACAGCTGTGAGTCACCATGCATCTGTAGTCCCAGCTATTTGGGTGGCTGGTGTGGGAGAATCACTTGAGTCCAGAAGATTGAGGCTGCAGTGAGCTATGCTCACACCACTGCTGTACTCCAGCCTGGGCAAAAGAGAGACACTCTGTCCAAAAACAAAAACAAAATCAATCAAAAAGGATCTTTGACCTTAATTTTAAACCAATCACATCCTCTTCCACCCAAATGGAGACATGGCTGTGGGGGGTGCCTGCCTGTAGTCCCAGCTACGTGGAAGGCTGAAGCATGCGAATTGCTTGAATCTTGGAGGCAATCTTGGAGGTAACAGTGAGCCAAGATGGTGCCACTGCACTCCAGCCTGGGCGACGAAGTGAGACTCAGCTCCCTCAGCACCAAAAAAAATTATATGACCCAGGTGATCATCGGATACATGAAGATTTCTATTGTGTTTTCTTAGGGACTGTCATCTCTGTCTTTGAAAACTGTTTTAACTCTGAAATATTTTGATAAATTTGATGTGGCCAAGGATCCCTCAACAAAGATACTTTCAAGTTTTCTTTCTTTCTGTCTAATATCAGGAAGAGATTCAACCCTTCCCTGTCTCACACTCAGGACTTTGAAGGACACATATTAGTGGAAGTCCATGTTTGTGAAGGGAATCGGTGAATGAGTCCTGGACTTTCACCCTATCCCTAAATCTTTCATTTTGATGGATTAATATCTAATTCGATCAGTTATTCTTTAAGAAAGCCAAAAATCCAATAAGGATTAACTGGGTAGAGATTAAGAAGTCTAGTCAAATGTAGCTCTCTCTGTCTCTCAGTTCAATCTAGCCTATTCCCCAGGCTGGAGTGGAGTAGTATAATGTCAGCTCACTGCAACTTCTGCCTCCTGGGTTCAAGTGATCCTCCTACCTCAGCCTCCCTAGTAGCTTGGACTACAGGCGCAGACCACTGCACCTGGCTAATTTTTGCTGTCTTAGTAGAGGCAGGGTTTTACCATGTTGGCCAGGCTCGTCTTGAACTCCTGATCTCAGATGATCCACCTGCCTCGGCCTCACAAAATGCTCAGATTACAGGTGTGAGTCACTGCACCCAGCCAAAGTGGTTCAGTTTGAATATGTGTAAGAGGTGTGCATTGGAAACATCTATCTTGAGAATGATGCATAACAGTGTCACATAGCTTTCAAAGCTTCTCACTGAAATTTTCAATAACGAGGCTGGGGCAGAGGCTCACACCTATAATCCCAGTATGTTGGGAGGCCAAGAGGGGTAGATTGCTTGAGACTAGGAGTTCAAGACCAGCTTGGACAACATAGCGAAATCCACTGTCTTTACAAAAAGTCAAAACATAAAAGATGAGCTGGGTGTGGTGATGCATAACTGTGGTCCCAGCTACTTGGGAGGCTGAGGGGGAAGAATCCTTTGAGCTGGGAGGTCAAGGCTGCACTGAGCTGAGATCCCACCACTACACTCCAGGCTGGGTGACAGAGCAAGACCCTGTCAGAAAGAGTGAGAGAGGGAGAGAGAGAAAGAGAGAGAGAATGAGAGAAGGGATGCAGGGAAAGAAGACAAGAAAGAAAGAAGGGAGAGAGAGGGGGAAAGAAAGAAAGAAGGGAGGGAGAGAGGGAAAGAAGGAAAGAAGAAAGAGAGAGAAAGAGAAAGCAAGCTTAAATAATGAAAAGAAAACAAATAGAACCTGTTCTAGGGATGTCCCATGAATGTTCCCAACAAACTTATTTGTAGGAACTGAAAATGTGGGCATGTAGGCTTGTGACACTCCCATTCCCATTGTTTTAGAACCTTGAGTAATCAGTAATTTCCCCCAATGGTAGGAGGGGTTCACTTTCAGGTTCCTCCACACTCACTAGTCACTGGATGGAGCACTGGATAGAAAGGAAGGGCTCGTGGTGACCCTGCTTCCTCACTGCTTCGGAGACGCTCATGCTGATGCAGCAGAGGCACAATGCTGGCTTAATGGCCACTGAGTACAGGGCAGAATTGGAGTAAACTGAGGGCTGTTTCACCATTGCCAGAGCAGTGAGTTTGGCCATAGGAGAAGATGAGATTGCATGGGCTTGGCCTGAGAGTGATGCCTTTTCTCTGGGTTTGTCCTCTGGAAGTTTTCCCTGCAGATTCATGAAGATGAGCATCCGGACTCCACCCAGACTCCTGGAGCTTGCGGGGCGGAGCCTGCTGAGGGACCAAGCCTTGGCCATGTCCACCCTGGAGGAGCTGCCCACAGAACTTTTCCCCCCACTGTTCATGGAGGCCTTCAGCAGGAGATGCTGTGAGGCCCTGAAGCTGATGGTGCAGGCCTGGCCCTTCCGCCGCCTCCCTCTGAGGCCTCTGATAAAGATGCCTTGTCTGGAGGCCTTCCAAGCTGTGCTCGATGGGCTTGATGCACTGCTTACCCAAGGGGTTTGTCCCAGGTGAGGTGGCCCAGGTGGGCTGGTGGGGAGGGCCCAGGTGTCCAACTGAAGGAACAGCTGGGTCATGTGAAGTGAGGAGGCCCAAGGGGGATGGTGGTGGTGAGGAAGCCGAGAGGACTTGGCCATTCACCAGCTCCTCAGGGAAAGCACTGCTCACCACGCAAGGTCCATGGAGGTAACAGGAACCTCTCCTCTAATGGCACTGAAAGGCACCATGAAAAGTGAGAACTGGGCCGGGCACGGTGGCTCACAATGTAATCCCAGCACATTGGGAGGCTGAGGTCAAGAGTTGGAGGCCAGCCTGTCCAACATGGTAAACCCCAACTCTACTAAAAATACTAAAATTAGCTGGGCATGGTGGTGGGCTCCTGTAATCCCAGCTACTTGTGAGGTTGAGGCAGGAGAATCATTTGAACCCAGGAAGCAGAGGTTGCAGTGAGGTGACATCACACCACTGCACTCTAGCCTGGGCGACAGAGGGAGACTTGGTCTCAAAAAAAAAAACAAAAAAATGTGGAAGTGGGTAGGATCCAAGGGGAGAACAGAGTGAAGAAAAGTCAGAGAGAGGGACAAGAAGCAGGGAGGGGAGGAGCTGCTATCCAGGATGTGGAGTTTAAATTCAGAAATGAGTTCTTAAATTCTCAGTCTCACCTCTATTTTCCCACAGGAGGTGGAAACTTCAAGTGCTGGATTTACAGGATGTCTGTGAGAACTTCTGGATGGTTTGGTCTGAAGCTATGGCCCGTGGGTCCTTCCTCAATGCCAAGAGGAACAAAACACCAGTGCAGGACTGTCCAAGGATGAGAGGACAGCAGCCCTTGACTGTGTTCGTAGAACTTTGGCTCAAGAACAGGACTCTGGATGAATACCTCACCTACCTCCTTCTATGGGTCAAGCAGAGGAAAGATTTACTACACCTGTGCTGTAAGAAGCTGAAAATTTTGGGAATGCCCTTCCGCAATATCAGAAGCATCCTGAAAATGGTGAACCTAGACTGTATCCAGGAGGTGGAAGTGAATTGCAAGTGGGTACTGCCCATCCTGACACAGTTTACCCCATACCTGGGCCACATGAGGAATCTTCAGAAGCTCGTTCTCTCTCACATGGATGTCTCTCGCTACGTTTCCCCAGAGCAGAAGAAGGAGATTGTTACCCAGTTCACCACTCAGTTCCTCAAGCTGCACTGCCTCCAAAAGCTTTATATGAACTCTGTTTCTTTCCTCGAAGGCCACCTGGACCAGCTGCTCAGGTGAGGGAGGGTGGTGAGCTTTCTCTGCAGACCACAGCAGAGCCTGTTTCACTAAACGCTAGTGGGCATCTACTGTGAGCCAGCCTATGAGGATGTAACAGTGAAGGGGACACTAGAATGTCCATACATTGTCCTGTTGGCGGCCCTGTCCTGAAATGGGTATCATGCAACCATCCCAATAGAGGCAGAGGGATCAGCTAGGGGAGATGCTATAGAGAGGTTGTCATACTAGGAAGCTAGCTACTGGGGGGTTCAGATCTAGTGAGGGTGCCTTTCTGAATTCTTCCTGAGGACGTGTGTCTAAGTTAAGATGATGAAAAATAGGCCAGGGGCGGTGGCTCATGCCTGTAATCCTATCACTTTGGGAGTCTGAGGCAAGAGGATAGCTTGAGCCTAGGAGTTTAAGACCAGTCTGGGTAACATCCCAAGACCCCTGTCAGAAGTGAAGAAATAAAAGTAAAAACAAACAAGATAACTTTTTTTTTTTCTGAGATGAATTTTCACTTTGATCATCCAGGGTAAAGTGCACTTGTGACATCTCAGCTCGCAGCAACTTCTGCCTCCCAGGTTCAAGCGATTCTCCTGCCTCAGCCTCTTGAGTGCCTGGGATTACAGGCATGAGTCAGCACACCTGGCTAATTTTTATATTTTAAGTAGAGACAGGGTTTCACCATGTTGGCCAGGATATTCTCCAACTCCTGACTTCAGGTGATCCGCCCACCTTGGACTCCCAAAGTGCTGGGATTATAGGCGAGAGCTACCACGCCCAGCCAACAAGATAATTTTTAAGCAGATGATGTAAAGTAGGGAAGTGAAGTGGGCACTGAAGAGGGGAATGCTCAGCAAACCTGCACATGTCAGAAAATCAGCTTTGTGCCCCATAGTTTGGTGAACATGAATGATCCCATCTCTAATTCCCTGTTGTAAAAGTGTTTTGAGCTCCAGGTAAATTAATTACCTAGGCAATGCATGATTCTGAAACAGAGGGTCAGGGAGCAGGCACAAAGAATGGTGAAAGTGATAGATGGTTTGCTGATGATACAGGCATGGCAGGGACGCCTACAGCCCGCCCACCCCAGCTGATGTTGCAGGATCCTGTCTGGGTTTGTCCTTTATGCCTGAATCTCCACTGGGCTTCTGTGGCCCAGGGATGTGGTTTTCTGCCTGACAGATGAGGAAAGGGAGCTTTAGGGATTCTGTGAACTTGATCCATTCCTATAAATGATGGTGAAATGACTCAGCCTCAAATGGAATTATTTTTTTTCCTTCTTTTTTTTTAATACAGAGTCTCTCTCTGTCACCCAGGCTGGAGTGTAGTGGCATGATCTCTGCTCACTGCAACCTACACCTCCTGGGTTCAAACGATTCTTCTGCCTCAGCTTCCCAAGTAGCTGGAATTGCAGGCTCCCCCCACCACACCTGGCTAATTTTTGGATTTTTAGTAGAGACGAGGTTTTGCCATGTTCAGCAGGCTGGTCTCAAACTCCTGATCTCAAGGAATCCACCAGTCTCAGCCTCCCAAAGTTCTGGGATTACAGGTGTGAGTTACTGGGCCGGCTCTAAGGTGGAATTGACCTCGGTGGCAAAGCTCTTCATCACACATCATTCTAAGTGTTGACCATCAGGCCATCAGAATGACCCTGGACTTGGGCAAAATGGTCTCCATCCATTACCTTGAAGCCATTCCCCACCACCCTCCACTCACCCCTATGATTCCCCAGAATTAACTTCTTGCTCTCTCTCCCCAGCTGTCTGAAGACCTCGTTAAAGTTCCTCACAATAACTAACTGTGTGCTTTTGGAATCAGACTTGAAGCATCTATCCCAGTGCCCGAGTATCAGTCAACTAAAGACCCTGGACCTGAGTGGCATCAGACTGACCAATTACAGTCTTGTGCCTCTCCAAATTCTCCTAGAAAAAGTTGCAGCCACCCTTGAGTACTTGGATTTAGATGACTGTGGCATCATAGACTCCCAAGTCAACGCCATCCTGCCTGCCCTGAGCCGCTGCTTTGAGCTCAATGCCTTCAGCTTCTGTGGAAATCCCATCTCCATGGCCACCCTGGAGAACCTGCTGAGCCACACAATCATACTCAAAAACTTATGCGTGGAGGTGTATCCTGCCCCGCGGGAGAGTTATGGTGCTGATGGTACTCTCTGCTGGAACAGATTTGCTCAAATTAGGGCTGAGCTGATGAACAGAGTGAGGGACTTAAGGCACCCCAAGAGGATCTTTTTCTGTATTGATAACTGCCCTGACTGTGGCAACAGGTCATTTTATGACCTGGAGGCAGATCAATACTGCTGTTGAATGCCTGCCTATTTGGATGGGTATGTCAAACGCTTTCTTCTGGACACTTGGAAACTAAAACCTAGGTCTTAGGTACATCCTAAAGGGAGCACAGAACCCATCATTTCACACATAGGCTCTGAAAGTGGGAAAGGAAAGCTGATCAAGCAGGGGCAGGACTTGGGGGAAATGTTGCCATGGATTCGATGGGACTTTGGGGACCTGTATCCTGTAGAGTCGAAAATGGGAATCTGAATGTCTAGAGTGGAATTCAGGCTTGAGAATACATGAGGGAGTTACTCTTGCATGGATGGTTGTAAAGAAACAATCAGAAATAAAGGAAAACTGAGCAGAATCTGTCTGGTGCCCTCTATTATTAAGTAACCTGTTTTCCAGTTTAAGCCTCAGGAATCTTCAGTTATTGATGGAAAAAACAAAAGGCACTGACTGAGTTGTCCAATCAATAAGATGCAGCCCAAGAAAATCAAGGCATTTAAATGAAATTTGGTTATTGTAATCAGTTTCCTCCCATTCTTTTATTGGAGACAGAGTTTCACTCTTGTTGCCCAGGCTGGAGTTTAGAGTGCAATGGTGCCATCTGAGCTGACTGCAACCTCCACCTGGGGTTTAAATGATTCTTCTGCCTCAGCCTCCCAAGTAGCTGGGATTACAAGCATGCACCACCATGCCCAGCTAATTTGTGTATGTTTAGTAGAGACAGGGTTTCCTCACTATGTTGGTCAGGCTGGTCTCAAACTCCTGACTTTGGGTGATTCAAGCAAGTAGGCCTACCAAAGTGCTGGGGTTACAGGTGTGAGCCACTGTGTCAGGCTTTTTTTTGTTTTTGTTTTTTAAAGGTCTCCTGTCACTCAGGCTAGAGTGCAGTGGCACAATCATACCTCACTGCAACCTAAATTTCCTGGGTTCAAGTGATCCTCCCACCTCAGCCTCCTGAGTAGCTAGGACTACAGCTGTGTGAGCCACCACACCTGGATACTTCTTTTTAGTAGAGACAAGGCCTCGCTGTCTTCCCCAGGCTGATCTGGAACTCCTGAGCTTGTGATTCTCCTGCCTTGGCCTCCCAAAATGCAGGGAGTATAGGCGTGGACCACCACGCTTGGGTTGGCCTCCTCTAGTTCTTCACTTCTTTAGATGTCTGTTAACTCCTTGTTAGTTTCTGTGGCTGTTCAGTGGGTTAATACACACTAGGTGGACACCAAATGCCTGGAACATTACTGGGCAAGAACAGTGAGCCAATCCACACGGACAGCACCTTCTTCTCAGGGTCTTTCACCGCTAGCCAGATGCTGAGACCCTGCCCACTCCCTGTGAGTCTCCACATGCTTCCAGAAGCCTTATTTGGTGGATGTCAGCTTCACTGCACAAGGACCCACTCTCTTCCCACTGCCCTGGAAGGGGATGTCCATATTGTGTATTAGCTGGAGACTCTGGGCAGCATCAACCCTTGCTTGTTCTCCTGATGACCAGCAGCCCTTCTTGAATTAAACTGGTTGTAGCCAGTAAAGACAGCCACATTCCCTTTAAGTAAAATACTAAAACTATACAGGCATGTAACACTTTTTAAATATTTCCATCTGACATTTTAAAAGTTACATCTTTTTGGGGAGCTAGGTCAGATTGATGAGAGATTTTCTCATAACACCTCCCCTCTCTCCCTATGAAGGAAGAGACTAGTACTAGTGCAGCGTGTTCTGGAATCTGACAGCATCAAAGGGTGGATAACGATCAAGGGCCTGTGGGTGATGAGTGACCTTCCCTGTGCTGAGGAATTCTGCATAATGGGCACCCAAGTGAAGGATCCTGCTGAGTACTCAGGGGCTGGTGTTGCTGTCAGGGATGTTAGCCTAGAGCCTCAGCTTCCTGTAAAATGAGGATGATGATGTCCAACAGCTTATGGGACCTTGGTAGGATCCAATGAGATGGTTCATGTTTAGGGCTTGGCATGGGGTCTGGCATACAGTAAGATCAATACATCTTGTTCTTTTTTCTCTTCTCAGCAGAAGTCCCAGCACTTTTCATCTTTCAATCTCACCTCCTTTTCCTGATAATAGAGAGGCAACAAGAACTCAGGGCATGCAATGGGGCTCAACTTCTACTCTCTGCCACAATTTCATCATGATTCCCCCAAAGAGCAGAGCCCCAGGAGCCAGCAGGGGGCAGGGTGGGCATTTCTGGACTGGATTCATTCATAATAAGATCAAAATTTCCAATCCGTATGTCTCGGGTGCCATCTGCTGATAGATCCGACCAGATGGTATAATTGAGTGTTGCAAGGATTATATTTTATGGTGTTTTCAAAAATGTACTATTATGAGCCAGGTGCAGTGGCTCACGCCTGTAATTCCAGCACTTTGGGAGGCTGAGGCAGGTGGATCACCTGAGGTTGGGAGTTTGAGACCAGCCTGAGCAACATGAAGAAACCCCTTCTCTACTTAAAATACAAAAAATTAGCCAGGCGTGGTGGCGCACGTCTGTAATTGCAGCTACTCGATAGGCTGAGGCGGGAGAATCATTTGAATCTGGAGGTGGAGGTTGTGGTGAGCTCAGACTGAGCCATTGCACTCCAGCCTGGGCAACCCTAGCAAAACTCCATCTCAAAAAAAAAGATAAAATAAAATTTATTATTATGGCCGGGCATGGTGTCTCACACTTCTAATCCCACCACTTTGGGAGGCCAAGGCAGCCTCAGGATTTTGAGACCAGCCTGGCCAACATGGTGAAACCCCATCTCTACTAAAAATACACAAAATTTGCTGGGAGTGGTGGCATTCGCCTGTAATCCCAGGTATTCAGGAGGCTGAGGCAGGACAATCACTTGAACCCGGGAGGTGAGGGTTGCAATGAGACGAGATTGCACCACTTCACTCCAGCCTGGGCGACAGAGCATGAAAAAAAATTTACTATAATGTGAATACTATTAGAGTATAAATATTTGTGTTGTAATTTATGTATATGAAAGATTAGAACTTTTAAAGAATGCAACGTGATATTTCAAGAATGGTTAATGGCCAGGTGTGGTGGTTCATGCCTGTATTCCTGGCACTTTGGGAGGCCGAGGTGGGCAGATCACGAGGTCAGGAGTTCCAGACCAGCCTGGCCAACATGATGAAACCCGGTCTCTACGAAAAATACAAAAAATTAGCCTGGCGTGGTGACAGGTGCCTGTAATCCCAGATAGTCAGGAGGCTGAGGCAAGAGAATCGCTTGAACCTGCGAGGCAAAGGTTGCAGTGAGCCAAGAATGCACCACTGCACTCCAGCCTGGGTGAAAGAGGAAGACTCCGTCTCAAGGAGGGTGAGAAAAAGAATACTTAACTTGGTTTGAAATGTCAAAACAAATGAGATTTTAAAAACTAATTTTAAAGACACTGAACAATAATCATTTCTTCTTTAAAATATATTTAGAATAATACAATTTTAGCTTTGAAAGGAAACATTACAGTTTTAAAAAATATTGAGTTTATTTTATTTTATTTTATTTTATTTTATTTTATTTTATTTGGAGACAAAGTCTCACTCTGTTGTCCAGATTGGAGTGCAGTGGCATGATCACGGCTTACTGCAGCCTTGACCTCCTAGGCTCAGGTGATCTCCCTGCCTCAGTCCCCCTAGTAGCTGGAACAACAGGCATGCACCATCATGCCTGACTTATTTTTGTATTCTTAGTGAAGACCAGGCTTCAACATGTTGCCCAGACTGGTCTTGAAATTCTGGGCTCAAGCGATCCACCTGCCTCGGCCTCCTAAATTGCTGGGAGTGAGCTCTTATAGGCATGAGCCACCGCACCCAGCCTTGAGTTTATTTATTTATTTATTTTGGAGATGGAGTCTCCTTCTGTCATCCGTGCTGGAGTGCAGAGGTACGATCTCTGTTCACTGCAACTTCTGCCTCCAGGGTCCCAGCAATGTTCCTGTCTCAGCCTCCAGAGTAGCTGGGATTACAGGCATGCAACACCACACCTGATTAATTTTTGTATTATTATTATTATTTTTTTTAGTAGAGACAGGGTTTTGTCATTTTAGCTAGGCTGGTCTGGAACCCCTGACCTCAGGTGATCCACCTGCCTCGGCTTCCCAAAATGCTACGACTATAGGCGTGAGCCACCACACCCAGCCTATTTTTTCCTTTACAGCAGTTTTAGATTCACAGAAAAACTAAGCAGAAACTGCAGAGTTCTCATCTACCTTCTTCCCCCTTCAATACACAGCACCCCCACAGGATCAGCACCCACACCAGCACAGAGCATTCATCACAACCAATGAGCCACAGGGACACATCATTATCACCCAATGTCCATAGTTCACATGAGGGATCATTGCTGGTTTTGTACATTCTATGGATTTTAACAAAGGGATAATGACATGTATCCACCATTAGAGCATCATGGACAGTAGTTTTCTTTCCCTAAAATTCCTCTGTCCTCTTCCCATTCATCCCATTGTGCTCCCAACCCCTTGCATCCACTGGGCTTTCTACTGTCTCCTTAGAAAAATGCAAAAGCTTTTTCTGGAATGTCTAACAGGATGAGTCTTTTCAGATTGCCTTCTTTCACTTGTACAATAACGTGCATTTAGGAATTTTTCATGTCTTTTTACAGCTTTATAATAGTTCACTGACTGGATGGATCAGTTTGCTTATCCAGTCACTGACCGAAGGGCAACTTGCTAGCTTCCAAGTTTTGGCGATTATGAGTAAGTTGCTGTAAACATCCAGGTGTGGGTTTACTCACTTCATTAAATATCCAGGAGCATGATTACGGAATTGTAGGGGTATGGTATGTTTTACAATTATTTCTTCTTTCTTGACAATCTCACTTGTTCGATATTGCTGCTAAAGGTCAGGAACTTTGTCTCCATCATCCTGTGTTCCCACTGCTGAGCATGGAACGTGGCACTTGGTAGCAAATGCTGTTGACCACGTGATGCATGGAAACGTTTATCATGGGTATAGTCACTAAATTGCTACCTTGGGGACATCAACATTAGCTCACTACCAATAATATAAATAAATTGGATTATGGAAAAAAATGGCCCTTGTGATACTGTGGATACTCCAGGTGTATCATGAACGTCCAGCAATTGACCAGGCACAGTGGCTCACATCTGTAATCCCAGCACTTGCAGAGACTGAGGTGGGTGGATCACTTCAGTCAGGAGTTCAAGACGACTCTGGCCAATATGATGAAACCCTGTCTCTATTAAAGACACAAAAATTAACTAGGGGGTTGAGCCAAGATGGCCGAATAGGAACAGCTCCAGTCTACAGCTCCCAGCCTGAGCGGTGCAGAAGACGGGTGATTTCTGCACTTCCAACTGAGGTACCAGGTTCTTCTCACTGGGGAGTGTCAGAAAGTGGGTGTAGGACAGTGGGTGCAGTGCACCGAGCATGAGCCAAAGCAGCATGAGGCATTGCCTCTCCTGGGAAGTGCAAGGAGTCAGGGAATTCCCTTTCCTAGTCAAAGAAAGGGGTGACAGATGGCACCTGTAAAATCCGGTCACTCCCACCCTAATACTGCGCTTTTCCAACAGTCTTAGCAAATGGCACACCAGGAGATTATATCCCGTGTCTGGCTCAAAAGGTCCTATGCCCACGGAGCCTCACTCATTGCTAGCACAGCAGTCTGAGATCAAACTGCAAGGCGGCAGCAAGGCTGGGGGAGGGGAGCCTGCCATTGTTGAGGCTTGAGTAGGTAAACAAAGCAGCCAGGAAGCTGGAACTGGGTGGAGCCCACTGCAGCTCAAGGAGGCCTGCCTGCCTCCACAGACTCCATTTCTGGGGGCAGGGCATTGCCAAACAAAAGGCAGCAGAATCCTCTGTAGACTTAAATGTCCCTGTCTGACAGCTTTGAAGAGAGTAGTGGTTCTCCCAGCACGCAGCTGGAGATCTGAGAATGGACAGACTGACTCCTCAAGTGGGTCTGTGACCCCTAAGTAGCCTAACTGGGAGGCACCCACCAGCAGGGGCAGACTGACACCTCACATGGCCAGGTACTCCTCTGAGACAAAACTTCCACAGGAACGATCGGGCAGCAACATTTGTTGTTCACCAATATCCACTGTTCTGCAGCCTCTGCTGCTGATACCCAGGCAAACAGCTTCTGGAGTGGACCTCCAGCAAACTCCAACAGACCTGCAGCTGAGGGTCCTGACTGTTAGAAGGAAAACTAACAAACAGAAAGGACATCCACACCAAAACCCAGTCTGTACATCAGCATCATCAAAGACCAAAGGTAGATAAAACCACAAAGATGGGGAAAAAACAGAGCAGAAAAACGGGAAACTCTAAAAATCAGAGTTCCTCTCCTCCTCCAAAGGAACGCAGCTCCTCACCAGCAATGGAACAAAGCTAGAGGGAGAAGGACTTTGATGAGTTGAGAGATGAAGGCTTCAGATGATCAAACGACTCTGAGCTAAAAGAGGAAGTTCGAACCCATGGCAAAGAAGTCAAAAACATTGAAAAAAAATTAGATGAATGGCTAACTAAAATAACCAATGCAGAGAAGTCCTTGAAGGACCTGATGGAGCTGAAAACCATGGCACGAGAACCACGTGACAAATGTACAAGCCTCAGTAGCTGATTCCATCAACTGGAAGAAAGGGTATCAGTGAGGGAAGATCAAACGAATGAAATGAAGCGAGAAGAGAAGTTCAGAGATAAAAGAATAAGAGGAAATGAACAAAGCCTCCAAGAAATATGGGACTATGTGAAAAGACCAAGTCTATGTCTGACAGGTGTACCTGAAAGTGATGGGGAGAATGGAACCAAGCTGGAAAACACTCTTCAGGATATTATCCAGCAGAACTTCCCCAATCTAGCAAGGCAGGCAAACATTCAAATTCAGGAAATACACAGAATGCCACAAAGATACTCCTTGAGAAGAGCGACTCCAAGACACATAATTGTCAGATTCGCCAAAGTTGAAATGAAGGAAAAAATGTTAAGGGCAACCAGAGAGAAAGGTCGGGTTACCCACAAAGGGAAGCCCATCAGACTGACAGCGGAGCTCTCGGCAGAAACTCTACAAGCTAGAAGAGAGTGGGGGCCTATATTCAACATTCTTAAGAAAAGAATTTTTGACCCAGAATTTCATATGCAACCAAACTAAGCTTCATAAGTGAAGGAGAAATAAATTCCTTTACAGACAAGCAAATGCTGAGAGATTTTGTCACCACCAGGCCTGCCCTAAAAGAGCTCCTGAAGGAAGCACTAAACATGGAAAGGAACAACTGGTACCAGCCACTTCAAAAACATGCCAAATTGGAAGGACCATCGATACTAGGAAGAAACTGCATCAACTAAAGAGCAAAATAACCAGCTAACATCATAATGACAGGATCAAATTCACACATAACAATATTAACCTTAAATGTAAATGGGCTAAATGCTCCAATTAAAAAACACAGACTGGCAAATTTCATAAAGAGTCAAGACCCATCAGTGTGCTGTATTCAGGAAACCCATCTCACATGCAGAGACACACATAGGCTCAAAATAAAGGGATGGAGGAAGATCTTCCAAGCAAATGGAAAACACAAAAAGGCAGGAGTTGCCATCCTAGTCTCGGATAAAACAGACTTTAAACCAACAAAGATCAAAAGAGACAAAGAAGGCCATTACATCATGGTAAAGGGATCCATTCAACAAGAAGAGCTAACTATCCTAAATATAGATGCACCCAATACAGGAGCACCCAGATTCATAAAGCAAGTCCTTAGAGACCTACAAAGAGACTTAGACTCCCACACAATAATAATGGGAGACTTCAACACCCCACTGTCAACATTAGACACATCAATGAGACAGAAAGTTAACAAGGATATACAGGAATTGAACTCAGCTCTGCGCCAAGCGGACCTAATAGACATCTACAGAACTCACCATCCAAAATCAACAGAATATACATTCTTCTCAGCACCACACTGCACTTATTCCAAAAATTGACCACATAGTTGGAAGTAAAGCACACCTCAGCAAATGTAAGAGAACAGAAATTATAACAAACTGTCTCTCAGGCCACAGTGCAATCAAACTAGAACTCAGGATTAAGAAACTCACTCAGTGTGTGATGTTCCCTTTCCTGTGTCCATGTGTTCTCATTGTTCAATTCCCACCTATGAGCGAGAACATGCAGTGTTTGGTTTTTTGTGCTTGTGATAGTTTGCTGAGAATGATGGTTTCCAGCTTCATCCATGTCCCTACAAAGGACATGAACTCATCATTTTTTATGGCTGCATAGGATAGCATTAGGAGGTATACCTAAGGCTAAAAGACGAGTTAATGTGTGCGGCACACCAACATGGCACACGTATACATATGTAACAAACCTGCACGTTGTTCACATGTACCCTAAAACTTAAAGCATAATAATAATAATAAAAGAAACTCACTCAAAACCGCTCAACTACATGGAAATTGAACAACCTGCTCCTGAATGACTACTGGGTACATAACGAAATGAAGACAGAAATAAAGACATTCTTTGAAACCAATGAGAAAAAAGACACAACATACCAGAATCTCTGGGACACATTCAAAGCAGTGTGTAGAGGGAAATTTATAGCACTAAATGCCCACAAGAGAAAGCAGGAAAGATCTAAAATTGACAACCGAACATCACAATTAAAAGAACTAGAGAAGCAAGAGCAAACATATTCAAAAGCCAGCAGAAAGCAAGAAATAGCTAAGATCAGAGCAGACCCGAAGGAAATAGAGACACAAAAACCCCTTCAAAAAATCAATGAATCCGGTAGCTGGTTTTTTGAAAAGATCAACAAAATAGATAGACTGCTAGCAAGACTAATAAAGAAAAGATAGAAGAATCAAATAGATGCAATAAAAAATGATAAAGGGCATATCACCACGGATCCCACAGAAAGACAAACTACCATCAGAGAATACTATAAACACCTCTATGCAAATAAACTAGAAAATCTAGAAGAAATGGATAAATTCCTCAACACATACACCCTCCCCAGAATAAACCAGGAAGAAGGTGAATCTCTGAATAGACCAATAACAGGCTCTGAAATTGAGGAAATAATTAATAGCTTACCAACCAAAAAAAGTCCAGGACCAGATGGATTCACAGTCGAATTCTATCAGAGGTACAAGGAGGAGCTGGTACCATTCCTTCTGAAACTATTCCACTTAATAGAAAAAGAGGGAATCCTCCCTAACTCATTTTATGAGGCCAGCATCATCCTGACACCAAAGCCTCGCAGAGACACAACAAAAAAAGGGAATTTGAGACCAATATCCCTGATTAACATCGATGCAAAAATCCTCAATAAAATACTGGCAAACCGAATCCAGCAGCACGTCAAAAAGCTTATCCACCAATATCAAGTCGGCTTCATCCCTGATCCGCAAGGCTGGTTCCACTTACGCAAATCAATAAACGTAATCCATCACATAAACAGAACCAATGACAAAAACCACATGATTGTTTCAATATGTGCAGAAATGGCCTTCGATAAAATTCAACACCCTTTCAGGCTAAAAACTCTAGATAAACTAGGTATTGATGGAACGTATGTAAAAATAATAAGAGCCATTTATGACAAAACCACAGCCAATATCATACTGAATGGGCAAAAGCTAGAAGCACTCCCTCTGAAAACCAGCACAATGCATGGATGCCCCCTCTCACCACTCCTATTCAACATAGTATTGGAAGTTCTGGCCAGGGCAATCAGGCAAGAGAAAGAAATAAAGAGTATTCAAATAGGAAGAGAGGAAGTCAAATTGTCTCTGTTTGCAGATGACATGATTGTATATTTAGAAAACCCCATCATCTCAGCCCAACATCTCCTAAAGCTGATAAGCAACTTCAACAAAGTCTCAGGATACAAAATCAATGTGCAAAAATCAAAATCATTCCTATACATCAACAATAGACAAACGGAGAGCCAATCATGAGTGAACTCCCATTCACAATTGCTAAAAGAAAATAAAATACATAGGAATACAACTTACAAGGGATGTGAAGGACCTCTTCAAGGAGAACTACAAACCACTGCTTAAGGAAATAAGAGAGGACACTAACACATGGAAAAACATTCCACGCTCATGGGTCTGAAGAATCAATATCATGAAAATGGCCATACTGCCCAAAGTGATTTATAGATTCAATGCTATCCCCATCAAGCTGTAATGGAGTTTCTTCACAGAATTAGAAAAAACTACTTAAAACTTCATATGGAAGCAAAAAAGAACCTGTATACACAACACAATCCTAAGCAAAAAGAACAAAGCTGGAGGCATCACGCTACCTGACTTCAAACTATACGACAAGGCTACAGTAACCAAAACAACATGGTACAGTTATCAAAACAGATATGTAGACCAATGGAACAGAACAGAGGACTCAGAAATAATGCCACACATCTACAACCATCTGAACCTTGACAAACCTGACAAAAACAGCCAATGGGGAAAGGATTCCCTATTTAATAAACGGTGTTGGGAAAACTGGCTAGCCATATGCAGAAAACTGCAAATGAACCCCTTCCTTTCACCTTATGCAAAAATTAACTCAAGATGGATTAAAGACTTAAATGTAAGACCTAAAGCCATAAAAACCCTAGAAGAAAACCTAGGTGATACCATTCAGGACATAGGCATGGGCAAAGACTTCATGGCTAAAACACTAAAACCAATGGCAACAAAAGCCAAAATTGACAAATGGGATCTAATTAAAATAAAGAGCTTTTGCACAGCAAAAGAAACTATCATCAGAGTCAACAGGCAACCTATAGAATGGGAAAATTTTTTGCAATCTATCCATCAGACAAATGGCTAATATCCAGAATCTACAAGGAACTTAAGCAAATTTACAAGAAAAAAACAAACAACCCTGTCAAAAAGTGGGTGAAGGATACTAACAGACAACTCTCCAAAAAAACCATTTATCCAGCCAACAAACATATGAAAAAATGTTCATCACCACTGGTCATTTGATTTGCATTTCTCTAATGCAAATCAAAACCACAGTGAGATACCATCTCATGCCAGTTAGAATGGTGATCATTAAAAAGTCAGGAAACAACAGATGCTGGAAAGGATGTGGAGAAATAGGAATGCTTTGACACTGTTGGTGGGAGTGTAAATTAGTTCAACCATTGTGGAAGACAGTGTGGCAATTCCTCAAGGATCTAGAACCAGAAATACCATTTGATCCAGCAATCTCATTACTGGGTATATATCCAAAGGATTATAAATCCTTCTACTATAAAGACACATGCACAAGTATGTTTATTGCAGCACTATTCACAACAGCAAAGACTTGGAACCAACCCAAATGCCCATCAATGATAGACTGGATAAAGCAAATGTGGCACATATACATCATGGAATACTATGCAGTCATAAAAAATAAGTTCATTTCCTTTGCAGGGACATGGATGAAGCTAGAAACCATCATTCTCAGCAAACTAACACAGGAACAGTAAACCAAAACACCACATAAGTGGGAGTTGAACAATGAGAACTCATGGTCACAGGTAGGGGAACACTACACATCAGGGCCTCTCGGGGTGTGGAGGGCTAGGAGAGGGGTAGCATTAGGAGAAATACCTAATGTAGATGACGGGTTGATGGGTACAGCAAACCACCATGGCATGTGTATACGTATGTAACAAAACTGCACGTTCTGCACATGTATCCCAGAACTTAAAGTGGAAAGAAAGAAAGAAAGAAAGAAAGAAAGAAAGAAAAAAAGAAAGAAAGAAAGAAAGAAAGAAAGAAAGAAAGAAAGAAAGAAAGAAAGAAAGAGAAAGAAAGAAAGAAAGAAAGAAAGAAAGAAAGAAAGAAAGAGATGAAGCAAGAAAGATGGAAGGAAGGAAGGAAGGAAGGAAGGAAGGAAGGAAGGAAGGAAAGAGAGAGAGAGAGAGAGAAAGAAAGAAAGAAAGAAAGAAAGAAAGAAAGAAAGAAAGAAAGAAAGGAAAAGAAAAGACAGTGGAGGGGAGGGGATGGGAGAGGAGGTGAAGGGAAGGGAAGGGAAGGGAAGGGAGAAGAAAAGAAATACCCATAAAATAGGAAAGCTGGCTGGTCACAGGAGAAGCATGAAAATATCAAGCAGTGATTTCATATAGCAGCAAGAAAAGAGCTTGTAAAATTAGCTGCAAGAATAAGGATAAGCCTTGACCCATAAGATCCGAACAAGCAGGAAGGGGCTAAGCTGGCTGACACTGAATTGGTCAGACATGGCACTGGGTTTGACCCTTGCCCTACCCCAGGCCTAATTATACACCTATTATGACAGTAAGTCACACACCAGCGCCAGGACGGTTCTGAGAATGCCCATATTTAGTATAAAAATAGTTAACACCTAGCCACGTGCAGTGGCTCATGCCTGTAATCCCAACATTTTGGGAAACTGAGGCAGGCGGATAACCTGGTGTCGGGAGTTTGAGACCACCCTGACCAACATGGAGAAATCTCGTCTCTCCTAAAAATACAAAATTAGCCGAGTGTGGTGGTGCATGTCTGTAACCCCAGCTACTCCAGAGGCTGAGGCAGGAGTATTGCTTGAACACGGGAGGCGGAGATTGCAGTGAGCCAAGATCGCGCCATTGCACTCCAGCCTGGGCAACAAGAGCGAAACTCCATCTCAAAACATAAATAAATAAATAAATAAATAAATAAATAAATAAATAAATGACACCTCAGTTCTAAGAAAACTTCACCATTTTTTCTTAAAATCCTAATGATTATTTCAACCTCTCCTTACAGATCCTATAAAATTAGAAACCCAAACTCTCTTGTACCTGACTCGCTCTCCTGAATAAGCCCTCTCTTGAGTGTGTTCCTTTGCTTTGCAATAGACACTTCTTGCCTTTTGCTTCATTCTGCCTACTTCCTAAACTCTTTCTTGCAGCGGTGACAAGAATGTGGACACTGGTTGGTGATTGAGTCTCTGGGCACCTGGAGACGACCTAAGCACTATGGCAATAGTCAGTCTAAAAATCACACAGGATATCACAATTCACTCTCTGGTTTTCTTGGGGGAAAAATCCAGTAACTTTGGCCCCATATCCCCAAGGGGCATCACTCAGCACAAACTGAGAAGCAGCAGTCCTACCGCTGGGTTGTAAGTATGCGGCTTTATTCCGGGGTTCTCTATTCCATTCCATTGGTCTATGTCTCGACCTTCATACTGGCACCACGCAGTTTTGCTTACTATTGCCTTACTGTATAAATTGAAGTCAGGTAATGTGATGTCTCCATATTTGTTCATTTTGCTTCGGATTGCTTTGGCTCTTCAGGCTCTTCTTCATCTCCATATGAATCTTAGGATTCTTTTTTTAATCTTGTGAAAATGGTGTTTGTATTTTGGTGTATGAAATTTTTAGACTGACGTTTTTAGATTGATGTTTGATGTTTGCAGTTTTTAGATTGCTTTGGGCAGTGTGGTCATTTTCACAATATTGTGTCTGTCAATCCGTGAGCATGGGCTGTTTTTCTACTTTTTTGTTGTCTATGATTTTTTTCAGCAGTGTCTTGTAGTTCATCTCATAGAGATCCTTTACCTAATGGTTAAGTGTATTCCTAGGTTGTTTTTGTTATTGTCACTGTTTTTGTTGTTGTTTTGCAACTATTGTGAAGGGATGGAGTTCTTGAATTGATTCTCAGCTTGCTTGTTGTTGGTATCAAACAGTGGTACTTATTTGTACATATTGATTTTGTACCTGAGATTTAAGTGAATTCACTTATCGCATCTATGAGTCTTGGTGGAATCTTTCCAGTTTTCTAAGCACATATGATCACATCATTGGCAAACACAGGTAGTTTCACTTCCTTCTTTCCAATTTAATTATACTTTATTCCTTTTGCTTACCAGATTGCTCTGACAAAAATTTTCAGTCCTATGTTGATTACAAGTGGATAAAGTGAGGATTTTTGTCTGCTTGTAGTTCCTAGCAGGAATACTTTCAACGTTTCTTCATTCAATATGATGTTGCATGTGGATTTGTCATTTTTGGCTTCTATTATTTTGATGTATGTTCTTTCTAGGCATAGTTTGTGTAAGCGTAGTCTATTATTTTACAAGCTCAGATTTGTATTCTGTTTTATCTGAGTGCATTGTGAGATTTGGCATCTATTTTACCTGATATAAGTACAGCTACTCTTGCTGTTTTTGGTTTCCAGTTGCATGGAATATCTTATTCTACCCATTCACTTTCCATCTACATGTATGTTTATAGGTGAATTAAGTTTCTGGAAAACAGCATATAGTAGGGTTTTATGTTTTTACTCATTCAAAGACCCTATGCCTTTCACTTGCAGAATTGAGATAAATTATATTCATTGTTTTTATTGATAAAGGCTTAGTGCTCCCATTTCATTTCTTGTTTTTTGGTTGTTTAGAGACTTCTCTCTTCCATCCTTTTCTTATTGTCTTTCTTTGTGTTTAAGTAATTTTCTCTTCTGGAATACTTAGAATGTGACTCTTCTGGCCAGAAACCTCTGTGGCTGGGGGCACCTTTGCCAGAGTTTTGATGGGGTTCACTGGGTTCGTTCTGCCCATGCAGCCTGGTAGACTATGCTTGGCTCATGTTTCAAGCCTGGAGCACATGCCTATTAAGGGCGGGTCAGGGCTGGAGTGGTGAGGGGTGTGTGAGTGAGCAGGGGGTCTGGCCACTTTGGACGGTCACCGGCTGCTGCTGCTGCAGCAGTGGGTTGGGCAGCTCCAGGTGTCAGCATGTGTGCCAGATTTCTGCAAGGCTGCAAATGAATCAGGCACAGCACAAACAGCTTCCATGGTTGTCACTGGAATACACAGTGACACCAACACTGAAAGCTTGGAAATGCCAGGAACTGCAGAACCCCCAAAAGGGAGTCACAGCCCTGGCTCAGGAAGCTCCCACATCTGGGCTCCTGGAAGAGTAGTCGCTCTTCTCTTTTTCTCTTCACCTACAATTTGGTGAGCAAGGGGCATGTTTCAGCTTTATTTGTGTTATTGCTCTTTTACCCCACCATTAGGCGGGTCTCAAGTTTTTGTCCTGTGACCAGGAAGAGTGAAATATGCAGACAAGTGGAGGGTGAGTGAGATAAAGAGGAGCTTTATTGAGCAATAGAACAGCTCAGAGACCCACAGTGGGTAACTTCTTTCTGCAGCCAGGGCGTCCTGATGAGTGTTTAGTACTGAGCAGAGAGGAGGCCCTGGGTGGGTGACCCCTCCCTCCTGGCAGGTTATTCCATCATCACCACTGCTCTCAGTAGAGAGAAGGCCCTGGAGTGGGTTGCTGCTCTCTGCAGGAAAGTCATCTCATCATCTCTACAGCTCTCAGCAGAGAAAAGGACCCGGAGGGGGTTGCTTGTCTCTACAGGAAAATCATCCCCACAGTGGGTAGTTCCTCTCTGCCACTGGTCTTCCTAATGTTCTCCCTGAGTCTGGGGTTTTTTTGACATCAGACAGGAGAAAGTATGCACTCATTGGGTCATAGGTGGCCATGAGCAGGCACAGAAAAGGCAACACATGTTCCCACTCTGGTCCATAGGACTGGTGGCCCAGCCCATGGGCTTCAGGCCCTCCTTGATCAGAAGGTGGAGCTTCACCAGTGACCCTCACCTTCCTGTCCAGGATTCTGTCTGCCTCCCACCACCAACCATGGAGCCCAGGTCACTTGTACCAAGGAGCATCCAAAGACCAGTGCTGATCAGTCCGCAACACCCCTCAGCCTCCCTCCTACACTCATCAAGGCCCAAAGTCCAGAGGGTTCAAGACAGCAGTGGGATGGTGCATCAGCACTGACCCGAGTGTGCACAGACCCACCTGGGCTGCGACAGCATCTGGGCTTGACCACAACCACACTCCAAAATTAGAGCAGGTGCCATGAGAGATGAGGCAGTGAGAGCGGACACCCCCAAGCTGCAGGAGAAGGGGGGATCTCCTGGACCCTCGAGAGTACTGGGGGACCTCATTTGGTAACTGTGACCTGGACAACTTCAGTTGCGTCTTTGGAGCTACTGCCCTGCCAACTCAGGAGGACCAGGACTCCCTCTTGTCCCAGGCTCCCATCAGCTCTGAAGTGTACGCAGCCTTGGATGTGCCCTTTCTCTGTGTTTCCCTGCAGAAGTGACAGTTGAGAAGCAGATACACAGCAGCTCTGACCAACCCCGCACAAACAAACCCAATGCTCCTGGGTGTGGTTTAACCAGCCCCAACTGCACTATCATCCAGGAGCTTGCAGGCTAACAGCAGGCAGTGAGCAGTGAAGTAGAGGCTGTGGTGGAGACTCCAGACCTGGGACAAGGTTCCATTTTGCGATGAGAGGGTGTGGGTGGCACAGTTGGCTGCCTCAGGGAAATGGAGCACAGGCCTGGCTCATGACCCAGTCAAGGGGAGTGCCTCCAGGAGTGGTTCATGGTTCCAGGCCCAGCAATCGGGCTGGTCACCCCTATGGGGGGCGGATCTCGGAAACACAGCCTGGGGTGGATCCGCATAGAACCTCCCTTCAAGACCTGGGAGCTTGACACCGTTAGCAGGATGGGCACAGTGACCAGATAGCTGGCCAGGTCCTTGAAGCAGGTGCCATTTCTGCTTCTCACCCTGGCCCCCTGATGGATGGCCCCAGCTATGCCTTCTGGGCCTGGCATCCGCACATCTTGTGCGAGCGTGGCACCACCCCATTCCTATCTTCTCCTTGGGGCCCCTCTCTGCCCGTCCCTTCGCGCCTGACCGAGCTGCTCCCCGTGGGCAAAAAAGTAAGAAAAAAACTGATGACTGAAGAGAAGTAAAGAATGGGTGGAGATCATCTGTATGCCTGTTTTCCTAGCGCTTTGGGAGGCCAAGGTCAGTGGATCACTTGAAGCCAGGATCTTGAGACCAGGCTGATCAACACGGAAAAACCTCATCTCTATTAAAAATACAAAAATCAGCCAGTCTTGGTGGAACGTGCCTGCAGTCCCAGCTATTTGAGTGGTTGAGGCACAAGAATCACTTGAGCCCTGAAGGAAAGGATTGCAATGAGCCCAGATTGCACCACTGCACTCCAGCCTAAATGACAAACTGAGATTTTGTCTCCAAAACAAAACAAAGAACAAGAATGGGTGGGAAATACTTAAAATGATCAAATTTTATTTGGTTGCTTTGATGTTCTACAGCTGAAACTCAATCACAGACAAAGTAGTATTTCATTATTTTTCCATCAGTAACTCAATAACTAGATATTTCTGGTGGATAAATTGCTACAACACGTTAAAAGTTTTCATTCAGGTGCTCTTTATTTCTGATATTCCTTGGTAACCATCCTTGCAGGGATAACATTCTCATCACTGTAGAACTTTAGCTTCTCTTTCCGACTCTGTAGGACACGGGTCCCTGAAGTTCTCATTGATGTCACCTCAACATTTTCCTCCAGCCTTGCCCCCTGCTGTTATGTTTTCTCCCTCACACTGAGCACTTCCCTGTGCTTCCTTTAAGTTGCATGTGGCCTGGACACAGTCACTCATGCCAGTAATCCCAGCACTTTAGGAAGCTGAGGCAGGAGGATCCCATAAGCCCAGCTGAGGCAGGAGGATCCCAGAGCAACACAGAGAAACCCTGTCTCAAATTGTCTTTAATAAAAATTTTGGAATTATTAAAAAATGAAATAAATAAGAAAAGAGAAAAATAGCTTGCACCTACATAGTAGATTTTAGTGTCCAAGTGCCTGGAAGAGAACTTTGGATTTCTCTACCCCACTGGGCATGCCTTCCCTAGCAGCAAAGATGGAGCTCCAGTTCCTCAGACAGTGATGAGCCACAGGAAGGGCAGGGGGTGGGGCCAATGAAGATCCTCTTGGGCTGCCTGACTTCCCTCAGTGTACACATCAGCTCAGCCCGAAGTGGGGTCAAGATCTCCCAATTGACACGAACCAAGGAATTCAAACTCTCCTCAGGGGCAGGATACGTCTCCAGGCTTAACTTGCTCAGCCCACTGGTGTGGCGCAGCAGGTCCTTCAGGGCACCCATAGACATACAATTTCTGCCAAAGTAGAAGGTGGTGAGCTGGGAGCAGCGGCTCAGGCCAGGCAGGATGGCACTGAGTTGGGAGTAGTGGATCTGACAGCCCTCCAAGATGAGGGTTTCGAGAGAGGCAGCAATTTTCTCTAGCAGAGCTCCGAGGGGTTCAAGACTGATGCGGAACAGCAGCACGTAGCTGAGATTCAGATGCTTTAGGTAACCGAGGCTTGGGTACTGGGAGAGACACTTCACATCCTCTTCCAATAGGTAGCCATAAGTTAATTCCAAGTTCTCCAAGGGGTTCTGGAGGCACCTGTGGAGATCAAGAAGTTAGTTCTGGGCAATGGTACCAGTTAGATGAAGGTAGTGCCTTCATCTAGGAAAATGCCTGCGTCAAACAAACACAAGTTTGTTCCCACCATCTGATGATGGTCCTCATGGAAGTTGCTGCATGATGAGGACCCTGATCGCTCAGGGGCTGTCCCATTTTAGAATCAGCCCTTTCACCATTGCTTGTGTGATTGGGTCAAGGCCATAAAATCTCTAAAGCCTTTTTTTTTTTTCATCTTTTAGCAGAAAACTTTATCTCTGGGCCACAGGTACCCGGTGGGAGATGTGAACAAAGAACTCAACTCAGCAAGGTCTAGGGACATCAGCTAGGGCTACATGTCGGCAGGGGCTACCTGACATGCCTGCATCTGCAAACCAACTGTCACTTTTTACCACTCTCACGCCTACTCCCTCACCTCCATCCCAGAAGCACGCATTTCCCATGTCAGTTACCTTTCCTGGAGTTCAAAACAACCTTTTACAAACAGGGAATCAGAGACAGGATCATTCGTGATCACTAAGCCGGTGAGGACAGACGTTCTATTGTGAAATGGACAGGTTTGATGCACTTTCCCTCCTTTCATACCCTCCTCTATTATCTCTTTGACATCATATCAACTTGAAACACACTTTGTAACAGGAAATTCACACGTGCACCCCCAATAGAGCTGAAACCCCCACTAACTAGCTTGTACATGATGTCCCTCTCTAGCTTCTACCCCAGGTGACCCCTCTGCCCTTATTGGAGCGATCCTGTGATAGCCACTCCAGGACATGGAACACTGAATGGGACAATGTGTTGACATTCTGGTGTCCCCTTCACTGTGACGTTGCCACTGGCTGGCACACAGTACACGCCTTCTAATGTTTGCTGTAAGAGAACAAGGCTATGCTGTGGTCTGCATAAAAAATGCATGATCCTTCCTCACCTGATCAGCTGTTCCAGGTGCCCACTGAAGAAGGTGATCAATTTTATTTTAAGCAACTGGAGGTGTTCCAGCCCGAGGAACACAGAGCTGAATTTGGTGACTAACCGTCCTTCGAGTTCATTATCTGACGTGGAATGATGGCACCTGGAGAAAACGAGTTTGCCAAGAGTCTTCATCTCCTTCAGGTAACAACGAAGCTTTCTTATCAGACGTGGCCAGGACATGTTGTGAATTTCCAGCTATTGAATACTATTCAGGTATATTATTTTCAACGACTTTCTGAGATGTTTAATCGGCGTTAGATAATTGACCAGCTTACTACAGCACAGGTGTACTAAACCTCTCCTTTGGTAAACCCACTGGAAGAGGTATCTCAGGCATTCATCCTGGGGTATTTCCTTGAGGCAGATGTCTATGAACACCTTTAAGGGCTGGTGCTCTCCCATCCTTGGACGGTCCTCTGCTGTCTGCCTCTTACTCATGGTCTCTGGGAAGCAGGACAGGGCCCAGGCTCCAGGCCATCTGGCCCAGAAATTCCCGTCAACGTCCCGCTAATCCAGCACTTGAAGTTTCCACCTCCTGTGGGTAAAATAAGGGAGAGGCTCAGAATTTAGAAGGACAAATCCCTGACCTTTGCTTTCATTGTCATCCCATAAATCAGCTGCTCATGTCCTCAGTGCTCCCTGTTCTCTTTGTCTTTTCTTGATCCCTTTTCCCTTTGGATTCTGAGTGGTCCCCACTTCTATTCCCTTTACCTTCCACTGAGAAAAGGCAGGTTTCTGTTCCCACAGTGGACCCTGTATGGTGAGCAGTCCTTTCTCTGAGGATCTGGACAATGGCCAAAGCCTCCCTGATCTTCCTCGCCAACACCATCAGAAGACTCTGGGCTACACTTGGGCTACTTCTCTGCCTGACCCTGCTGTTCTTTCCCTGGACACCTGAGCCCTATCTACCAGCCCTCCTGGGTCACCTCACCTGGGGCGATCCTTCTGTGTAAGCAGCATATGAAGCCCTTCCAGCAATGCTTTTAAGGTCTCCAAATGAAGCGTCTTCATCAGTGATCCCAGAGGGAGGCAGGTGAAGGGCCAGGCCTGCACCATCACCGTCACAGTCTGGAAGTGTCTCCTGCGGAAGGCCTCCATGAAGAGTGGGAGATAGAGCACCCTGGGCAGCTCCTCCATGGCAGAGATGGACAAGGCCTGGTCTCTCAGCAGGCTCTGCCCCGCCAGCTCCAGGAGTCTGGGTGGGGCCTGGATGCTCATCCTGATAGATCTGCAAGGAAAATCTCTAGAAGACAAATCCAGGGAAAATGTATCACTCTCATGGCAAACACAATCATCTGCTTCTACTGGTACCAGGAAGAATGTCTTCCAAACACCAAGGAGGGAGGGGTCAAGGAGACCACTGGTTTATTAATTTTCATCCATTGCTCCACTGAATCCCAGAACCACCGGACAGTGCCACTGAGGATCCTGAAAGCCAAGCTCTACCTCTTTGAGGAAAAATTTCTTGTCACTTACCACCCTAAAGCAATGAGAATGAGAGTGTCCTGTGGCCCCAGACAGCCTCCATTCTCAGTTTACACCATAAACATGCTGGGGGAACACTAAAGGGACTCCCTAAAATCGATGCCATTATTTTTTATTTTGAAAATTTTCTACCAGAAATGGACCAGGTGCTGTGGCTCATGTCTGTAATCCCAACACTGCTGGACACCAAGGCAGGCAGTTCACTTGAGGTCAGGAGTTCGAGAACAGCCTGGCCTACATAATGAAACGATGTCTCTACTAAATACAAAAAAATTAAGAATCATTTGACTCCAGAAGGCAGAGGTTGCAGAGAGCCAAGATCTCACCACTGCTCTCCAGCCTGGGTGACAGAGTTGGACTCCGACTCAAACAAAAACAAATTGATAAATTAATTAATTAAAATGTTAGCCAGGTGTGGTCATGCATGACTGTAATCCTAGCTACTCTGGAGGCAGAGGAAGGAGAATCACTTGAAGCCCAGAGGCAGAGTTTCCAGGGAGCCCAGCTCAGGGCCCTGCACTCCAGTCTGGGTGACACACTCAGAGTACATCGCAGAAAAAAAACAAAATAATTCACTGGAACTGTAAAAGTGGTGTGATGGTATTCCACAGCATTTGGAAGGTATGTATAGAAATGCTAACTGTACCTGGGCGCGGTGGCTCACTCCTGTAATCCCAGCACTTTGGGAGTCTGAGGGGGGCAGATCTCCTGAGGTCAGGAGTTTGAGGCCAGCATGGCCAACATGGCAAAACCCTGTGTCTACTAAAAATACAAAAATTAGCTGGGCATGGTGGTGAGTGCCTGTAATCCAAGCTACTCAGGAGGCTGAAGCAGGAGAATCGCATGTAACTAGGAGGCAGAAATTTCAGTGAACCAAACCACACCATGGCACTCCAGCCTGGGCAACAATAGGGAAACTCCATCTCAAAAACTGTAAAAGTGCTACCATGCTATTCTAGAGCACTGTAACTCTGAGATGAAGGTTCCTATAGACATCACTTCCACATACTCACAATTACCCACTTTTTGATGGATCCTAGGGGCAAAGATAAATCCCATGATCTGAGCAAAACTGCACTCTTGAGATTGGTGTGTGGGATACCTTTAAGGATTTTATGAAAATGAAAGCATACTTGGAGAATCACAATAACACCAAGTCTATGAACTGTAATTGAAGGGCACAAAAACAGATAACTTCAAATGTCAAGAAATAAAAATTCATGTCACTGTAAATTTTTAATATATTTTTTAAAAACCTGCTTCGATAAGAATTTTAAAATGACAAAAACCAAGCACAAATCACAATTTGATGGATGAAGACAAAACTACATTTAGAGGAAAAATGAAAGCCTAAATCTGTTCATCTCACGAAACAGACAGAAAAATATTGTGTGCCACTTTGGGATGTGTGTCACCGTCCCTGACTGGCTGGCTGCTGATCAGATGGGCATGACCCTAAGCAGGTGGTGACTTACCAGCGCTGGACTCACTTTGCAGAGTTCTGGGACCTCTCAGGGAACCAAGCAGTAGCTCCAGGAATGAGTGCTGTGGGTCTCTTCTGGGTACCCTCAGGAGCTTTTATAGACCTTTCTAACCCCACCCTTCCCTTCTCAATCACCAGCTTCCAATCAGAAAGTGATACCTGATTAGATCTTGCAGTCACACCCAGTTAATCCTGATTGAGTTTTCAGCTTTCTTCTGACTAATCGATTGAATTAGATACACATTTATGGAAGTAAAAGAATAAATAATAGGGTGAAAGTCTAAAACTCATTCGTTCATTTATTCCCCAAATACTGATGAAGTTTGGCTAATACACGACTTTCGTAGTGATGTAGGGAAGGGATTAATCTGTTCCTGATATTAGACCAAAAAAAAAAAAACCTTAAGGTGTCCTTATTGGAGGATGTTTGGCCACATCAAAATTGTCAAAATGTTTCAGAGCTACAATAGCCTGAAGAAGATAGTGATGTCATTCCCAAGAAAACAGAATAAAAAGCTGTGTATATCGAATGGTCACCTGTGTTTTATGCTATCTAACATAGCAGATCATATGCACATTCAGGTAGAAGAAAGGAACCACTGAGAGTGTGATCTATCTCAAGACTAAGTCAAGGCTTCACTGAAGGAAATCAGGACAAAGTGACCAAGTGAGGTGGGGACTGAGCGGAATGAGACTAGGTGTTCTAATGGGAACCTGCAAAGGAAACAAGACAATGTAAAACATGGCGGTTATCTTGTGGGCATCTAGATGTCAGGACTCAAAGTCTTTTGTCAAGATTGAGTTTATTTATTGATTGTTTGTTTGATTTTCAGACTGGGCCTACATCTGTCACTCAGGCTGGAGTGCAGTGGCACGATTTCAGCTCACTGCAGCCTCAACCTTCTGGTTCAAGTGATTCTCTCATTTCTGCCTCCCAAGTAGCTGGGAATTACGGGTGCACTCCAACAAGCCCTACTAATTTTTGTATTTTAGTCGAGATGGGGTTTCACCATGTTGGCCCGGCTGGTCTCAAACTCCTGACCTCAAGTGATCTCCTCACCTTGGCCTCCCAAAAGGCTGGGATAACATGCATCAGCCATCTCACCCACCCTAGATTGAGTTCAGAAATTAAAAGGAGAATCATCAAAAGAGATAGGGCAGACTTAAACCATAACATTCACTTTGAAAACACAGGGGGCAGGTATAGTCTTGGCCCTACTAGAAGGTAAAGGGTGTTTACTCACAAAACTGATGGGCTCCTCTCAGAAAACCAGCTTGCAAAGATGGAATCTAAGAATGTGAACTGGAGCAGAGGCCAGAGAGAAGATTGGGGCCAGACCTGGGAAGGGAGGCTCTCCCAAGCTGGAAGCCACCCAGGTAGAAACTGTGGGCTCTACAGGATGTGAGAGAGAAATGAACGAGGGTCCATATGTCCATCATTGTTCTATCATCTGGAAACCTTTCCTTTAGACTCTGGGATCTTCCCACAGTGGAACATTTCCCAGCAACCATTGGCCCCAGTCATTTTCCAGGACCCTTCATCCAAATCTTAATCTCACCCACTCCCTTCCTACTCTAATTTGATAATTCATGTTTCCTCCTTCTTAGAGTCCTTTCCTGTCGCTAATATTGAACATAGAGATTCTTATCAGAGCATCAACATTAGGCCTACAAAGAAAGCTCAGACCCAGGCACAGTGGCTCATGCCTGTAACATCAGCACTTTGAGAGGCCAAGGTGGGCTGATCATGAGGTCAGTATATCAAGACCATTCTAGCTAACACGGTGAAACTCCGTCTCTACTAAAAATACAAAAAATTAGCCGAGCATAGTGGCAGATGTCTGCACTCCCAGCTACTCAGAAGGCTGAGGCAGGAGAATCGCTTAAACCCAGGATGTGAAGTTGCAGTGAGCTGAGATGGCGCCACTGCCCTCCATCCTGGGTGATGGCATGACACTGTCAAAAAAGAACAAAAGAAAAAGCAAGCAAGCATGCAAGAAAGAAAGAAAGAAAGAAAGAAAGAAAGAAAGAAAGAAAGAAAGAAAGAAAGAAGGAAGGAAGGAAGGAAGGAAGGAAGGAAGGAAGGAAGGAAGGAAGGAAGGAAGGAAAGAAAGAAGAAAGAAAGAGAAAGAAAGAAAGAAAGAAAGAAAGAAAGAAAGAAAGAAAGAAAGAAAGAAAGAAAGAAAGAAAAAAGAAAGAAAGAAAGAAAGAAAGGAAGGAAGGAAGGAAAAGAAAGAAAGACCTCAGGCCTCTAATCCCAGCCCTTTGGGAAGCCAAGAAAGGCAGAGTGCTAGAGCTCAGGAGTTTGTGAGGAATATGGGCAATGTGATGAAACCCTGTCTCTAATAAAAATACAAGATATTAGCTGGGGGGAGGCAGTGTGCACCTGTAGGCCAAGCTGCCCAAGAAGTTGAGGTGGGAGGATCACCTGAGCCCAGTGAGGCTTCTACTTCCCACGCCCCACTTTGTAAACCTGAGGCTGAGGGTGAGCTCAACACCAATAATGGTTGTGAGAATCTGTGTTCACTGAGCATCCACGAGGCACAACAGACGGCTGGTACTGATCATCCCGGACCTCAGCTCTTCTTCATGGAGAATCTAAGGCACGTTGCTATTTTCCCCATTTCTAACCTGATAAACCTGAGATTTGGCCAGAGAAAAATCTTCCCATGTTCTGGCAGCAAATGATTGGCAAACCCCTCAGGTGAGGGGCTCAGTGGAACCCCCAAGGTGTTCAATAAGCTAAATATTGGAAAGAACTGGCTAACTGACTCCCTCTTCCTGCCCATTTCAAGGGGTGCAGTAGCACCCCCAGGACCCCAGTGAGAATCCTGCACTTGGGGTCTTTTCTACCATGTTCTGTCACCAGTTCTTCTCGAGGTGCTCATCTGCTGCCAAGCTCAGAGCAACCTTCGAAACCCATCTCAGGAAACGACCTGACCTATTCTCCACTCCCAGAATCCACACTGGGATTCCAAAGCTCCTATGAGGCCCTTGCTTAGGCTCTCTAGAATATTCCTGAGCCTCTGTTTTCTCCCTCAGCCTGAGCTGATGGGGCCGGCGTCACTTTATGCATCCCAAGGCCATCAGCCCATCTCTCCTGGACTTCAGAACATGGCCACAATGCAGAGAGACCCAGCAGTAATTAAGAAATTTTCCCCAGTTTATATTGAGTGATGTTGGTGAACATGGCAAGGCACAAAGCAGGAAACTCCACAGCTGCTGCTCTGGACCTAAAGAGGCACCCTGGACTTCTGGGTGGTGACACTGCCTGGCTTGCAGAGGAAGACCTGACCCCTCTGGTCTTCCAAGGCTGCCAGGATGATGACAGAGCCTTGGACAGGTCCCAGCGCAGGGGCCATCCCTTCCCAGGTTCCCCTGGCCCAGCCTTAGAGCTGATAAGGATGCACCTGGAATGCACTAAGTATTTTTTTGTCCAAGCCAGGTCTCTTCTTAGCCTTAGGTGAGGCTTTTTTCAGCTGGGTGCTATGGAAGAACCCGAAGCCCAGTGGGCATCACTGCAATGTCCACATGGTAAGTATGTGTGTGTGTGTGTGGCCACCTAGAAAGGCACAACTCTACCTGACAGAGCTGGTTCCATGGAAGAGAAAAGTATAACATCCCATGTCCCTGGTAGGACAACTTCCTCTGGGAGTCCAGCAAGAAGACGTGGAATCTGCGGACAAGAGGTCCCTGGGTAAAAGCCCTCATTTGAGGATAAGAGTAAAGTTGAACCTTAGACCCTGAGGGATCTATGCCCTTCCCACAGGGCTGCAGCAGAGCCAGCCCTGACTCCCAGGCACAATAGCCCAGAGAGATCTTCGAAGGGAAGTAAACCTGCTGGGGCCTCAGGGCTCAGAAAAAGCTCTGGACCTATCTCCCAGTCATGCCTCTCCCACTCCCAAGTGCCTCTGGCCCTGGAACTGTCAGAGACCCCTGTGTCTTTTCCATGTGCTCTTCTTCTCCTTTCACTCAGCCCTGCCTCTGCCAATGCTCCCTGCATTTGCCTCCATGTAAGGCCCCCAACCCCAAGCTCTGGCAGTGGCTGGGGAGCTAGGGGTTTTTGTGCCCACCTGGAGAAAGCCTCACTCAGCATGGGCCCGTGTGGGTTCTGCAGTCTTTTCCTACACAGGGTCACCTACAGGTGTTATGGTTGCATCTCCCCTAGAAGAGCCAATGGGGATGGGTGAGGAATCTGAAATCACTCAGGCACCCCACATACAAATGAGAGCCAGGGTCCCTGCAAGCACAGGCCCCGGGGTAGGTCCTGGCCCTTGTTGTTGCCTTCTGATCCCAGAGGCCTTGGGTTTGTGGTCACAGGAGCCCTACCTACTTCCCATGCACCCCCAGCCCAAGATAAACAAATTCCTGCAGCCTCCCCGGTCCATGTACTTGAGATCTCCAGATCGTGCCACTTCACTCCAACCTGGACGACAGGGCGAGACTCGGGGCCAAAAAAAAAATTAGCTGAGCATGGTGGCAGGCACTTGTAGTCCGAGCTATTTGGGAGGCTGAGGTAGGAGAATCACTTGAAGCCAGGAGGCAGAGGTTTAAGTGAGCTGAGATAGAGCCACTACACTGCAGCCTGGGAAATAGAGCAAGACTCCGTCTCAGGAAAAAGAGACAAGAAAAAGAGAAAATCAGAAGCACCGAGCTGTGTTTTTAATGAGGTCCTGCCCCAGGAAGTCAGGCATCCAAATGAAATTTCCTCATTTTTATCAATTCCCTCCTGTTCTTTACTTCTCTTTACAAATCTGTTACCTCCTGACTTTGTTCTGTGGCTGATCAGTGGGTGAATACCCACAAGATGCACACACAGGGCCAGGAACATTCTATGTGGGCAAAGAGTGTGAGTCACTCAAGTAAAGCCCCTTCTCAGGTCCCTCCCTGCTAACCAGATGCTGAGACCCTGTTCAGTCCTAATGGGCAGATTGAGAAGAATCCATTTCTGACCATTAGCTGTGCTGGGACAGAGATTCACTGCACAAGGCATGGCCCCTGCTTTGGAAGGGGACATTCACATCATTGATTACCTGGAGCTTCAGGGCATCACCAACCCATACCTGTCGTCATGGTGGGCAGTGCTCCTTCCTTAATTAAACTAGTTGTGTCTTATAAAGATATCAAAATTCCCTTTTAGCAAAATACTGCCTACAATATATAAATATGGCTGGGTTTGTTGGCTCATACCTATAATAGTAGCACTTTGGGAGGCTGAGGCAGGAGAATCACAAGATCAAGAGATCGAGACCATCCTGGCCAACATGGTGAAACCCCATCTCTACTAAAACTACAAAAATTAGCTGGACATGTTGTCACATGCCTGTACTCCCAGCTACTAGAGAGGCTGAGGCAGGAGAATTGCTTGAACCCAGGAGGCGTAGGTTGCTGTGAGCTGAGATTGTGCCACCACACTTCAGCCTCATGACAGAGTGAGACTCCATCTCAAAAACAAAACAAAACAAAAGAAAATAACATATAAATACTAATAATCATATAGACATAAAACATGGTTTAAATATTTCTTTACCACATTCAAAAATCAAGCATGCTTTTTGGGGGCCAGGTCATATTGATGAGAGATCCTTTCTTAACACCCTTCCCATACCTAGCAGACTAAAGAAGAAGACTAGCGTATGCAGGGAAAAGAAAGAGAGATCAGACGGTTACTGTGTCTATGTAGAAAAGGAAGACATAAGAAACTTCATTTTGATCTGTACCCTGACTTTGCCCTGAGATGCTGTTAATCTGTAACTTTAGCCCCAACTTTGAGCTCACAGCAGCATGTGTTGTATAGAATCAAGGTTTAAGGGATCCAGGGCTGTGCAGGATGTGCTTTGCTAGCAAAAGGTTTACAGGCAGTATGCTTGATAAAAGTCATCACCATTCTCCATTCTCAAGTAACCAGGGGTGCAATACACTGTGAAAAACCTCAGGGACCCCTGCCCTGGAAAGCCAGGTATTGTCCAAGGTTTCTCCCCATGTGATAGTCTGAAATATGACCTCATTGGATGGGAAAGACCTGACCTTCCACCCAGCTTGACATCCATTAAGGGTCTGTGCTGAGGAGGATTAGTAAAAGAGGAAGGCCTCTTGCAGTTGAGATAAGAGGAAGGCTTCTGTCTCCTGCCTGCCCCTGGGAACTGAATGCCTCAGTATAAAACCTGATTATACATTTGTTCTATTCTGAGATAGGAGAAAAACTGCCTGTGGTGGGAGGCGAGACATGTTGGCAGCAATGCTGCTTTGTTACTCTTTACTCCATTGAGATGTTTGGGTGGAGAAAAGCATAAATCTGGCCTATGTGCACATCCAGGCATAGTACCATCCCTTGAACTTATTTGTGACACAGATTCCTCTGCTCACATGTTTTCTTGCTGACTTTCTCCCCACTATCACCCTGCTCTCCTGCCACTTTTCCCTTACTGAGTTAGTGAAAATAGTAATCAATAAATACTGAGGGAACTCAGAGACCAGTGCCGGTGTGGGTCCTCCGTATGCTGAGCAGCAGTCCCCTGGGCCCATTTTTCTTTCTCTATACTTTGTCTCTGTGTCTTATTTCTTTTCTCAGTCTCTTGTCCTGCCTGATGAGAAATACCCACAGGTGTGGAGTGGCTGACCCCCTTCACCTGGCGCCCAACGTGGGCCTTTCTCTAGGGTGAAGGTACACTAAAAACGTGAGCATTGAAGACAGTCAACGAGAGATTCCCAAGTACTTCCACGGTCAGCCATGCGGTAAGCTTGTGTGCTCAGAGGAACCCAGGGTAACAATGGGACAAACTGAAAGTAAATATGCCTCTTATCTCAGCTTCATTAAAATTCTTCTAAGAAGATGGGGAGTTAGAGCTTCTACAGAAAATCTAATTATGCTATTTCAAACAATAGAACAATTCTGCCCATGGTTTCCAAAACAAGGACTTTAGATCTAAAAGATTGGGGGAAAATTGGCAAAGAATTAAAACAAGCAAGTAGGGAAGATAAAATCATCCCACTTACAGTATGGAATGATTGGCCCATTATTAAAACAACTTTAGAACCGTTTCAAATAGAAAAAGATAGCCTTTCAATTTCTGATGCCCCTGAAAGCTGTGTAGTAGATTGTGAAGAAGAGGCAGAGACAAAATCCCGGAAATTAATGGAAAGTTCACATTGTAAAATGTAACAGAGTCTGTAATGGCTCAGTCAACGCAAAATGTTGACTACAATCAGTTACAGGAGGTAATATATCCTGAATCATCAAAACTGGTGGAAGGAGGTCCAGAATTATTGGGGCTACCAGAGCCTAAACCACAATGGCCATCAACTCCTCCTCCAGTGGTTCAGATGCCTGTAACATTACAACCTCAAATGCAGGTTAGACAAGTGCAAACCCCAAGAGAATATCATGTAGAAAAGGATAGAGTCTCTATCCCGGCCATGCCAATTCAGATACAGTATCCACAATATCAGCTGGTAGAAAATAAGACCCAACCACCGGTAGTTTATCAATACTGGCCGCCAGCTAAGCTTCAGTATGGGCCGTCTCCGGAGGTTCAATACAGACCTCAAGCTGTGTGTCCCGTGCCACATAGCACGGCACCTCACCAGCAACCCAGCGGTGTTTAGTCCTACATCACCACCTAGTGGACAAGGTAGTACACTGCATGAAATCATTGATAAAGCCAGAAAACAGGGAGATCTTGAGGCATGGCAGTTCCTTGTAATTTTACAACCAATACCAGCTGGGAAAGGGGGGCAAGCTGGAGCGTCTGTCCAAACTGAGGCTAGATATGAATCTTTCACCATGAAAATGTTAAAAGATATGAAGGAAGGAGTTAAACAATATGGACCCAACTCCCCTTATATGAGAACTTTATTAGATCCCATTGCTCATGGAAATAGACTTATTCCCTATGATTGGGAAATGTTGGCTAAATCTTCCCTTTCACCCTCTCAGTTCCTACAATTTAAAACCTGGTGGATTGATGGAGTACAAGAACAGGCACGAAAAGTCAGGCTATTTATCCCGCTGTTAATATAGATGCAGATCGATTGCTAGGAACAGGTCCAAATTGGAGTACAATTGGCCAACAGTCAGTAATGCAGAATGAGGGTATTGAATATCTAAGGGCTCTTTGCCTCAGGGACTGGGAAAAAATTCAGGACCCAGGCACCTGGGTGCCCCACACACCACTTGCCCAGGCATCACTTGCCCAGGCACCGCTTGCCCTTCTTCTAATTCAATTAGACAAGGCTGCAAAGAGCCATATGCAGACTCCGTGGCAAGGTTGCAAGATGCCTCTGAAAAATCTGTTTCGGATGATAATGCTCAAAAAGTTATTGTAGAAATAATGGCTTATCAAAAGTCAAATCCAGAATTTCAACCAGCCATAAAGCCATTAAAAGGAAAAGGTCCAGCAGGAGTTGATGTAATTACGGAATATGTGAAAGCTTGTGATGGGATTGGAGGAGCTATGCGTAAGGCAATGCTAATGGCTCAAGCAATGACCGGAGTCACTTTAGGAGGATAGTTAGAGCATTTGGGGGGAAATGTTATAATTGTGGTCAAATCGGTCATCTAAAAAAGAACTGCCCAGTCTTAAATAAACAGAGTAAAAATAAAGAGCCACCTGGCCTGTGTCCAAGACATGGAAAAGGAAAACATTGGGCTAATCAATGTCGTTCTAAATATGATAAAAATGGGCAACTATTGTCAGAAAAAGGGGTGAGGGGCCAGCCTCAGTCCCAACAACAAACTGGGGCATTCCCGATTCAGCCGTTTGTTCTTCAGGGTTTTCAGGGACAGCAACCACCACAGCAAATACCACCACTTCAGGGAATCAGCCAATTACAACAATACAACAGCTGTCCCCCGCCACAGCAGGCAGCACAGCAGTAGATTTATGTTCCACTCAAAAGGTTTCTTTACTCCCTGGAGAGACCCCGCAAAAGATTCCTACAGGGGTATATGGCCCACTGCCAGGAGGGACAGTAGGCCTCATTTTAGGGAGATGAAGTCTAAATTTGAAGGGAGTCCAAATTCATACTGGGGTAATTGATTCAGATTATAAAGGGGAAATTCAGTTAGTGATCAGCTCCACTGTTCCCTGGAGTGCCAATCCAGGTAATAGAATTGCTCAATTATTGCTTTTGCCTTATATTAAAATTGGGGAAAATAAAACGGAAAGGACAGGAGGGTTTGGAAGTACCAACTCTGCCGGAAAAGCCACTCATTGGGCTCGTCAGGTCTCAGAGAATAGACCTGTGTGTACAGTCACTATTCAGGGAAAGCAGTTTATAGGATTATTGGATACCGATGCTGATGTTTCCATTATCGCCTTAAATCAATGGCCAAAAAATTGGCCTAAACAAAAGCCTGTTACAGGACTTGTCGGTGTGGGCAGCGCCTCAAAAGTGTATCAAAGCACCATGATTTTACATTGTCTAGGACCTGATAATCAAGAAAGTACAGTTCAACCTATGATTACTGCTATTCCAATTAATTTATGGGGCCGAGACTTGTTACAACAATGGCATGCAGAGATGACTATCCCAGCCTCCTTATACAGCCCCACGAGTCAAAAAATCAGACTAAAATGGGGTATCTCCCTGGCAAAGGACTAGGGAAAAATGGAGATGGCATTAAAATCCCAATTGAGGCTGAGGGAAATCAAGAAAGAAAAGGAATAGGATATCCTTTTTAGGAGTGGCCACTGTAGAGCCCCCAAAACCCATTCCATTAACTTGGAAAACAGAAAAACCTGTATGGGTAAATCAGTGGCTGCTACCAAAACAAAAGCTGGAGGCTTTACACTTACGGGCAAAAGAACAATTAGCAAAGGGACATATTGAGCCTTCATTTTCGCCTTGAATTCTCCTGTGTTTGTAACTCAGAAAAAATCCAGCAGATGGCACATGTTAACCGACTTAAGAGCCGTCAATGCTGTAATTCAACCTATGGGGGCTCTCCAACCTGGGTTGCCCTCTCTGGCCATGATCCCCAAAGATTGGCCTTTAATTATAATTGATCTGAAGGATTGCTTTTTTACCATTCCTCTAGCAAAACAGGATTTTGAAAAATTTGCTTTTACTATACCAGCCATAAATAATAAAGAACCAGCCACCAGGTTTCAGTGGAAAGTGTTGCCTCAGGGAATGCTTAATTGTCCAACTATTTGTCAGATTTTTGTAGCTGAAGCTCTTCAACCAGTTAGAGACAAGTTTTCAGACTACGTCTTTCATTATGTTGATGATCTTTTGTGTGCTGCAGAAACGAGAGACACATTAATTGACTGTCACACATTTCTGCAGACAGAGGTTGCAAACTCAGGACTGACAATAGCATCTGATAAGATTCAAACCTCTACTCCTGTCCATTACTTGGGAATGCAGGTAGAGGAAAGAAAATTTAAACAACAAAAAATAGAAATAAGAAAAGACATTAAAAACATTAAACGACTTTCATAAATTGCTAGGAGATATTAATTGGATTTGGTCAATTCTAGGCATCCTTACTTATGCCATGTCAAATTTGTTCTCTATCTTGAGTGGGGATCCAGAATTGAATAGTAAAAGAACATTAACTCCAGAGGCAACTAAAGAAATTGAATTAATTGAAGAAAAAATTCGGTCAGCACAAGTAAATAGAATAGATCACTTCGCCCCACTCCAACTTTTGATTTTTGCTACTGCATATTCTCAACAGGCATTATTGTTCAAAATACAGATCTTGTGGAGTGATCTTTCCTTCCTGACAGTACGATTAAGACTTTTACATTGTACTTGGATCAAATGGCTACATTAATTGGTCAGGCAAGATTACAAATAATAAAATTGTGTGGAAGTGACCCAGATAAAATCATTGTTCCTTTAAACAAGGAAGAGTTTAGACAAGGCTTTATCAATTCTGCTGCATGGCAGATTGCTCTTGCTGATTTTGTGGGAATTATTGATAACCATTACCCAAAAACAAAAATCTTCCAGTTTTTAAAATTGACTACTTGAATTTTACCTAAAATTACCAGACATAAACCTTTAGAAAATGCTCTGACTGTGTTTACTGATGGTTCCAGCAATGGAAAAGTGGTTTACACCAGGCCGAAAGAATGAGTCATTGAAAATCAGATTCTGCATATGTAGTACAGCTACAAAGGATGTTGAGACAGCCCTAACCAAATATAGTATGGATGATCAGTTAAACCAGTCCTTTTATTTGTTACAACAAATTGTAAGAAAAAGAAATCTCCCATTTTATATTACTCATATATGAGCACATACTAATTTACCAAGGCCTTTAACTAAAGCAAATGAACAAGCTGACTTGCTAGTATCATCTGCATTCATAGAAGCACAAGAACTTCATGCTTTGACTCATGTAAATGCAACAGGACTAAAAAATAAATTTGATATCACATGGAAACAGGCAAAAAATATTGTACAACATTGCACCCAGTGTCAAGTCCTACACCTGCCCACTCAGGAGGCAGGAGTTAATCCCAGAGGTCTATGTCCTAATGCATTATGGCAAATGGATGTCACACATGTACCTTCATTTGGAAAATCGTCGTTTGTCCATGTGACAGTTGATTCTTATCTGCATGTTGTATGGGCAACCTGCCAGACAGGAGAAAGTACTTCCCATGTTAAAAGACATTTATTATCTTGTTTTGCTGTCATGGGAGTTCCAAAAAAAAATTAAAACACGTAATGGGCCAGGATACTGTAGTAAAACATTTTAAAAATTGTGAAATCAGTGACAAATTACACATACAACAGGAATCCCCTATAATTCCCAAGGACAGGCCATAATTGAAAGAACTAATAGAACACTCAAAGCTGAATTGGTGAAACAAAAAAAGGAAAAAGACATTAAGCAGTATAACACTCCCCAGATGCAACTTAATTTAGCACTCTATACTTTAAATTTTTTAAACATTTATAGAAATCAGACCACTACTTCTGCAGAGCAACATTTTACTGGTAAAAAGAACAGCCCACATGAAGGAAAACTGATTTGGTGGAAAGACAACAAAAATAAGACAAGGGAAATAGGGAAAATGATAACATGGGGGAGAGGTTTTGCTTGTGTTTCACCAGGAGAAAATCAGCTTCCTGTTTGGATACCCACTAGACATTTAAAGTTCTACAATGAACCCATCGGAGATGCAAAGAGAAGCGCCACCACGGAGATGGAAAACCCGCAATCGAGCATCATCGACTCACCGGGTGAACAAAATGGTGGTATCAGAAGAACAGATGAAGCTGCCATCCACCAAGAAAGTGGGGCCACTGACCTGGGCCCAATTAAAGAAGCTGACACAGTTAGCTGAAAAAAGCCTGAAGAACAAAAAGGGTAACACAAACTCCAGAGAACATGCTGCCTGCAGCTTTGATGATTGTATCAACGGTGGTAAGTCTCCCTGTGACTGCAGGAGCAGCCACAACTAATCATACTTACCGGGACTGTGTGCCTTTCCCGCCCTTAATTCAGGCAGTCACATGGATGGATAATCCTATTGAAGTATATGTTAATAATAGTGCATGGGTACCAGGCCTCACAGATGATCGTTGCCCTGCCCAACCTAAAAAAGAATTGATGATAAATATTTCCACTGGGTATCATTATCCTCCTATTTGCCAAGGGAAGGTGCCAGGATATTTAATGCCTACAACCCCAAATTGGTTGGTAGAAGTACCTACTGTCAGTGCCACCAGTAGATTTACTTATCACATAGTAAGTGGGATGTCACTCGGGCCACAGATAAAATAATTTACAGGACTCTTCTTATCAAAGATCATTAAAATTTAGGCCTAAGGGGAAGCCTTGCCCCAAGAAAATTCCCAAAGAATCAAAAGGTCCAAAAGTTTCAGTTTGGGAAGAATGTGTGGCTGATACTGCGGTGGTATTACAAAACAATGAATTTAGAACTATTATAGACCGGGCCCCTCGAGGCCAATTTTATTATAATTGTACAGGCCAGACTCTCTCATGTTCACAGCCCCATCCATCTGGCCCATTAATCTGGCCTATGAGAGTGATTTAACTGAAAGGCTGGATCAGGTTTATAGAAAGTTACAATCACCCTATCCATGGAAATGGGGTGAAAAGCGAATTTCATCACCTCGACCAAAGTTAGTTAGTCCTGTTACTGGTCCTGAACATCCAGAATTATGAAAGCTTACTGTGGCCTCACACCACATTAGAATTTGGTCTGAAAATCAAGCTATAGGAACAAGAGATCGTAAGCCATATTATACTATTAACTTAAATTCCAATCCGACAATTCCTTTGCAAAGTTGTGTAAAACCCCCTTATATGCTAGTTGTAGGAAACATAGTTATTAAACCAGATTCCCAAACTATAACCTGTGAAAACAGTAGATTGTTTACTTGCATTGATTCGACTTTTGATTGGCAGCACCGTATTCTGCTGGTGAGGGCAAGAGAGGGCATGGGGATCCCTGTGTCCATGGACTGACAGTGGGAGGCTTCCCCATCTGTCCATATTTTAACAGAAGTATTGAAAGGAGTTCTAACTAGATCCAAAAGATTCTTTTTTACTTTGATTGCAGTGATTTTGGGTCTTATTGCAGTCACAGCTACTGCTGTGGCTGCTGGAATTGCTTTACACTTCTCTGTTCAAACTGCAGAATATGTAAATAATTGGCAAAAGAATTCCTCAAAATTGTGGAATTCTCAGACCCAAATAGATCAAAAATTGGCAAACCAAATTAATGATCTTAGACAAACTGTCATTTGGATGGGAGATAGGCTCATGAGCTTGGAATATCTTTTTCAGTTACAGTATGACTGGAATATGTCAGATTTTTGTATTAAACCCCAAGCGTATAATGAGTCTGAGCATCACTGGGACATGACGCCAACTACAAGGAAGAGAAGATAATCTTACTTTAGATATTTTAAAATTAAAAGAACAAGTTTTTGAGGCATCAAAAGCCCATTTAAATTTGGTGCCAGAAACTGAGGCAATCATGAAAGTTGCTGATGGCCTCACAAATCTTAACCCTGTCACTTGGGTTAAAACCATCAGAAATTCAACTGTTGTAATTTCATATTAATCCTGGTATATCTGTTTTGTCTGTTGTTAGTCTACAGGTGTATCCAGCAGCTCCAAAGAGAGAGCGACCAGTGAGAACGGGCCATGATGATGATGGCGGTTTTCTCAAAAAGAAAAGGGGGATATGTAGGGAAAAGAAAGAGAGATCAGACGGTTACTGTGTCTATGTAGAAAAGGAAGACATAAGAAATTTCATTTTTATCTGTACCCTGAACAATTGCTTTGCCCTGAGATGCTGTTAATTTGTAACTTTAGCCCCAACCTTGAGCTCACAGAAACATGTGTTGTATGGAATCGAGGTTTAAGGGATCTAGGGCTGTGCAGGATGTGCCTTGTTTACAAAATATTTACAGGCAGTGTGCTTGATAAAAGTCATCGCCGTTCTTCATTCTCAAGTAACCAGGGGCACAATGCACTGTGGAAAGCTGCAGGGACCTCTGCCCTGGAAAGCCAGGTATTGTCCAAGGTTTCTCCCCATGTGATAGTCTGAAATATGACCTCATGGGATGGGAAAGACCTGACCGTCCCCAAGCCCGACACCCGTGAAGGGTCTGTGCTGAGGAGGATTAGTAAAAGAGGAAGGCTTCTTGCAGCTGAGATAAGAGGAAGACCTCTGTCTCCTGCCTGCCCCTGGGAATGCAATGTCTTGGTATAAAACCCGACTGTACATTTGTTCCATTCTGAGATAGGAGAAAAACCGCCTTGTGGCAGGAGGTGGGACATGTTGGGAGCAATGCTGCTTTGTTACTCTTTACTCCATTGAGATGTTTGGGTGGAGAAAAGCATAAATCTGGCCTATGTGCACATCCAGGCATAGAACCTTCCCTTGAACTTATTTGTGACACAGATTCCTTTGCTCACATGTTTTCTTGCTGACCTTCTCCCCTCTATCACCCTGCTCTCCTGCCACGTTCCCCTTGATGAGATAGTGAAAACAGTAATCAATAAAAACTGAGAGAACTCAGAGACCAGTGCTAGTGCAGGTCCTCCGTATGCTGAGCGCCGGTCCCCTGGGCCCAATTTCTTTCTCTATACTTTGTCTCTGTGTCTTATTTCTTTCCTCAGTCTCTCATCCCACCTGATGAGAAGTAACCACAGGTGTGGAGAGGCTGGCCCCACTTCAAGTGTATAGAATTCTGGTGTGGCATGTCCCATCAGGTTACTTAAGGGTGCATGTCCCCTGCCTGAACCCTGAAGGCCAGGTGGGAAGCCAAGTCTCTTGTGCCCAGCCAAGAAGCAGGTGTCCCCGAGAACCCAAACATCCCAGACAGTATCTGAGAACCTACCAGGCAGAAGAGGCTGATTGCTCAAAATCAGTGGACAAAGAGCCAGAAAATTCACTTAAAAGCAGTTTAGAGACAGGAGGTGGCACAGATCTTTGGGGCTGTGCTGCTGCTGCCCTGGAGTGCCCTGCATGTGAATCCTAATCAACTCATTATTTGCCAAGCTGGGCTCATCTGAGTCATCCTTTGATCTCTTGGCTCCTTTCCGGTTTGGCGGGGAAAATGATACGGCCCTGGTTTTTCTCAGAGCAAGCGTGTTTTGGAATCGCACATCCTTCGAGGGCAGATAATAGTCAAGTGCCTGTGGGTGATGAGTGACTTTCCCTATGGTGAGAAACCCTACACAAAGGGCATCTGAGTGAGGACCCTGCTGGGGACTCAGGTGAGAAATCCTACACGAAGGACATCCGAGTGAGGACCCTGCTCAGGACTCAGATGAGAAACCCTACAAAAAGGGCATCCGAGTGAGGACCCTGCTCAGGACTCAGATGAGAAACCCTACACAAAGGACATCCAAGTGAGGACCCTGCTGAGGACTCAGGTGAGAAACCCTACACAAAGGACATCCGAGTGAGGACCCTGCTCAGGACTCAGATGAGAAACCCTACACAAAGGACATCTGAGTGAGGACCCTGCTCAGGACTCAGATGAGAAACCCTACACAAAGGGCATCCAAGTGAGGACCCTGCTGAGGACTCAGGTGAGAAACCCTACACAAAGGACATCCGAGTGAGGACCCTGCAGAGGATTCAGATGAGAAACCCTACACAAACGGCATCCAGGTGAGGACCCTGCTGAGGACTCAGGTAAGAAACCCTACACAAAGAGTATCTGAGTGAGGACCATGCTGAGAACTCAGGGCCTGGTGTTGTTGGGCAGGAACCTTGGGCGAGAGCCTCAGTTTTCCTGAAAAATGAGGATGATGATGTCCACCACCTGTGTGACCCTGGTAGAATCGAATGAGATGGGGCAACTTAAGGGCTTGGCATAGGGCCTGGCATACAGGAAGAGTGAAATTAATGCATTTTTTCTACTTTTTCCCTCCCAGCAGAAGCCTCCATGATTATTCATCCCTCGTTCTGAAAACTAAAAATAAAATCCTAAGCTCCCCCTATGAACTGAACAGATTCCCTCTCGGCCAAGTGTACCCAGAGAAATCTTTAAAACTGAGTTCCTGGCCATGGCAGGATGGGAGGATAGACACGTCTCATTTTACTTCCTTCCTTTCATGGTTGAGACACAAAAACTGACCAGCATTCATGTTAAAATAGAGATTATAAGGCTGACTGAATTGACTATTTAGGGTAATAAGATACCAAGTTATATACAGGACCTAAGGTCTTACCAGGCAAGGGTTAAGTCAAGGGCCCCTACCCTTAAAAAATGAACTATATACTTTTTTTTTTTTTTTTTTTTGAGGCAGCGTCTCGCTTTGTAGCCCAGGCTGAAGTGCAGTGGCATGATCTTGGCTCACTGCAACCTCTGCCTCCCAGGTTCAAGCAATTCTCCTGCCTCAGCCTCCCGAGTAGCTGGGATTACAGGTGCATGCCACCACACCTGGCTAATTTTTTGTATTTTTAGTACAGACAGGGTTTCACCATGTTGGCCAGGCTGGTCTTGACCTGCTGACCTCATTATCCACCCGCCTCAGCCTCCCAAAGTGCTGGGATTACAGGCAAGAGCCACTGTGCCCAGCTGAATGAACTATATTCTAACTGCCACAGGGTTTTTCTCTCTCTAGCAGCTGAACAAGCACTGGCCCTAAGATAAGCAATATTGAAATGATTGCAGCTCATCCATCCCAGATTCTGACTAACTGACCCCCTGTTCCACAAGCCATGACTCCAGCTTTGATTGGACAAGAGATTGATTCCAGTAACTTTCTGCTGATGAGAGGCCTCTGAGCATTGACTGCTTCTGGCCACTTGAAAGAGACTTAGCACGCGAGCGTCTTCATGTCCCTGATGAACCATTTGATATGGGGGGGTCTAGCTGCAATGCATTGAAACATGAAGTCTCGGCGCAGCACGGTGGCTCACGCCTGTAATCCCAGCACTTTGGAACACTCTGGGAGACCGAGGCGGCAGATCACCTGAGGTCAGGCGTTCCAGACCAGCCTGGCCAACATAGTGAAACCCTATCGCTACTAAAAATAGAAAAAGTGGGCCAGGCGCGGTGGCTCACGCCTGTAATCCCAGCACTTTGGGAGGCCTAGGAGGGCGGATCACAAGGTCAGGAGATCGAGACAATCCTGGTTAACACAGAGAAACCCCGTCTCTACTAAAAATACAAAAATTAGCTGGGCGTGGCGGCGTGTGCCTGTAGTCCGAGCTGCTGGGGAGGCTGAGGCAGGAGAATGGCGTGAACCCGGGAAGTGGAGCTTGCAGTGAGCAGAGATTGCACCACTGCACTCCAGCCTGGGTGACAGAGCAAGACTCCATCTCAAAAAAAAAAAAAAAAAAAAAAAGTAGCCAGGTGTGGTGGCATGTACCTGTAGTCTCAGCTACTTGGCTGACACAGGAGAATCGCTTGAACCTGGGAGGTGGAGGATGCAGTGAGCTGATACGGTGCCATTGCAGTCCAGCCTGGGTGACATAGCAAGACTCTGTCTCAAAAAGAAAAAGAAATGTGAAGTCTCCACCCCAAAGTGAACATGGGACATAAGCCACATGAATGTTTATTCAGTATGCATGTGTTAGGCCCCCTTCAAGAATACTCATAGCCCATTTCATGACCTGTTGAGTGTGTATACTTGGCCAACCCACTCAGCATAAATTCCTGCCTCATCACTTCCTCCCTGGAAATACCAGTGAAGGATCTTTTCTGAAAGCTGCACTTTCGAGCCTGAGGCATGGCGAGCCTACAGGCCATAAGCTACAGAAATATATCCTTTTTTTCCTTTTTAAGTAGAGACAGGATTTTGCTTTGTTGCCCAGGCTAGAACTCCTTGGTTCAAGCAATCCACCCACATCGGCCTCCCAAAGTGCTGGAATTACAGGCGTGAGCCACCTTGCTTGGCCTATAGAATTATAGCTTTTTTTTTTTTTTGAGAGGGAGTCTCACTCTTTGCCCAGGCTGCAGTGCAGCAGCACGATCTCGGCTCACTGCAATCTCCGCCTCCCGGGTTCAAGCGATTCTCCTTGACTCAGCCTCCTGAGTAGCTGGGATTACAGGCACGTGCCACCATGCCCAGCTAATTTTTGTATTTTTAGTAGAGACGGGGTTTCACCATGTTGGCCAGGATGGTCTCCATCTCTTGACCTCGTGATCCACCCGCCTTGGCCTCCCAAAGTGCTGGGATTACAGGCGTGAGCCACCACACCCGGCCTAGAAATATATGTTATAATAAAATAGAGCCATGTGTGGTGGCTCATGCCTGTAATCCCAATACTTTGTAAGGCTAAGATTGGAGCCCTGCCTGAGCCTGGCCGTTCTGGACCAGCCCGGGTAATATAGAGACACTCCAGTAATGTGAGACTCTAGCACATGTTGAGTGGGAGTGGTCACATGTGGATGCTCATCGCAGCACTATTCACAACAGCAAAGACATGGAATCCACTGGAATGCACATCAGTGGTGGACTGGATTAACAAAATATGGTACAGATACACCATGGAAACCTACACAGCTTGAAACAAGAACAAGATAATGCCCTTTCATTAAGTCCTCATCCTCCTTTTGCTGCAACACGGATGGAGCTAGAAGCCGTTATGCTAAGCAAACTAAAGCAGGCACAGAAAACCAAACACCACATGTTCTCACTTATAAATGAGAGCCAAATATTAAGTATACATGACATAATAATGGGAACAATAGACGCCCGGGACTACTGGAGAGTGGAGGGTGGAAGGGGAGTGGGTATCAACAAACTACCAAAACTGGCTGGACATGGTGGCTCACACCTCTAATCCCAGCACTGAGGCAGTGCACCATTTGAGGTCAGGAGTTCTCCATGTCCAACATGGTGAAACCCTGTCTCTACTAAAAATGCAAAAACTTAGCCTGGCGTGGTAATGCAAGTCTGTAGTCTCAGCTACTTGGGAGGCCGAGGCAGGAGAATTGCTTGACTCTGGGAGGCAGAGGTTGCAGTGAGCTGAGAGCATGCCACTACACTCCAGCCTGGGTGACAGAGTGAGACGCCACCTCAAAAAACAAACAAACAAACAAATAAACAAAAGCTACCAAAATTATTTATCTGATAGTTTGTCTATTATCTATAGAACAAACCTGCATCTGTATTCCTGGAACTAAAATACAAGTTTGAAAACCTGCGATTTTCAGTGATTGGTTAGAGACCTGACAAATAGCCATCACATTAGAGTCACCCACTAGATTTCTGCTTTGTCATTTTGGGGAGGTCACAGTTTCCTGTTTGCTCTAGTTTCTTGTAGATATAGATCTGTATTTTTGCACTGAAGGAAGAATGATTTACTCCAGTTTTCTCTGTCTGGCTTGCTTTGGTTTGGACTGAATACATTCCCTTAGTGAATCTTCACCACTAGGTTGCTGCTTCCTTCTTGGCTCCAGGTGGTGGCTTAAGCCCAGGTTTACCTAAGTTTTAGTAAACCACAAGAGTGCTGCCAGTCCCAAATGGGGAAAGTCCCAAAGGGATTCTCATGGCAGTGTAGGAGCGCTAGCTAGGTCAAGCCCAGGTTTTCCTGTTTTTTGATAAGGAGAGAAGGGTGGTGTGATAGGAAGATCTCTCATTGAAATGAGTTAGTTTCCAAAAGGATGTATATTTCCATTAATATGGGCTGGAAATATTTAGAATGTATTATCCACCTAAATGATTTTAGCATTATTCTAAGAGAAATTGGATATCTTTACTGGACACAATCACTTTAATTCAGTAAACCCCACTAGTCACCATGAGGACAGGTCAGTGCCCTGGTTTTCCCGTTTTTTGATAAGGAGAGAAGGGAGGTGTTACAGGAAGATGTCTCATTGAAATGAGTTAATTTCCAAAAGGATGCATATTGATGTGGGCTAGAAATATTTAGAATGTGTCATCTACCTAAATGATTTTACTATTCTTCTAAGAGAAATTGGACATCTTTACTACACACAATTATGTTAATTCAGTAAAACCCACTAGCCACCATGAGGACAGGCAAGGGTTGGTGATGCCATGAGGCTCCCGCTAGTACACAGTATGGCCATTCCCTCCCAAGGCAGGGGGCCGCACCTTGTGCAGTGAAGCCCTTTCCTGACATGGCCAATGATCAGGAACAGATTCTCCCAGATCTGCCCATTAGGAGTGAGCAGGGTCTCGGTATCTGGGGAGCAGTGAGGGCCCCTGACAAGAAGAGGGTTGACTCAATGGTTCATCATCACTGCCCACATAGAATGTTCCAGGTCCCAGGCATGCATCTTTTGTGGATGAACCCAGTAAATAACCACAGGAGAAAGTAAGGAAGAGATGACTGGAGAGGTAAAGAATGGGCATAAATTAATCAAAGTTTAGGCTAGGCACGTTGGTTCACGCCTGTAATCCTAGCACTTTGGGAGGCTTCCTTGAGGTCACTTGAGGTTAGGAGTTTGAGACCAGTCAGGCCAACATCGTGAAACCCCGTCTCTACTAAAAACACAAATTCCCTTGAACCTGGGAGTTGGAGGTTGCAGTGAGCCAAGATCACACCACTGCACTCCAGCCTAGGTGACCAAGCAAGACTCCATCAAATAAACAAAACAAACAAACAAAACAGGTCAGGCTCTGTGGCTCATGCCTGTAATCCTAGCACTTTGGGAGGCCAAGGTGGGCAGATTACCTGAGGTCAGGAGTTCGAGACCAGCCTGATCAACATGGAGAAATGCCGTTTCTAATAAAAATACAAAATTAGCTGGGCATGGTGGCGCATGCCTGTGATCCCAGCTACTCGGGAGGCTGAGGCAGGAAAATCGCTTGAACCCAGGAGGCGGAGGTTGTGGTGAGCCAAGATCATGCCATTTCACTCCAGCCTGGGCAACAAGAGCGAATCTCCGTCTAAAACAAAACAAAAAAAAAAAGAAAAAAAAACCACAACGACAACATGAAGTTTATTTTGATTCCTTTATTTCCTGCAGATGAAACTAAATCACAGATGAACTAGTACCTCTTTTTTTAATTCATCAGGAACTAAAGATTTCTGATGTATAAATTGCTGAAACAGGCTAATCAATCATGAAGGACAGCAGAGAGTTTCCATTTAGGTTCCCTCTACTTCCGACGTTTCTTTGTATCCATCCTTGCTGAGATAACTCCCTCACTCTAGAACTTCAGCTTTCTATTTCTGACTGTCTAGGACACAGATCCCTGAGTCTCAGTGACTCCATTCAACTTTTTCCCCAGTGCTGCCCCCTGCTGGGATTTTTTGTTTTTTGTTTTCCACTCACAGAAAGCACATGCCTGAAACAGAGGTTTCTCTGTTCCCTTTATAATGCACCTATAGACCCGGCACAGCTGCTTATGCCTGTAATCCCAGAATCTTGGGAGGCCAAGCAGGGGGCTCCCTTAAGCGTAAGAGTTTGAGACCAGCCTGGACAACATAGGGAAACCCTGTCTCAAATTTTTAAATAAAAGCTGTAAAATTGTAAAATAAGGAAAAAGAAAAATAAAAGACATCTATGTCCCAGATTTTAGTTTCCAAGTGCCTGGAGAAAAAGCTTTTTATACCTCCACCCCACTAGGCAGGCCTTCCCCACAAGCAAAAATTGAACTCCAGTTGCTCAGTGGGCGAAGTGCCACAGCAAGGGCAGGACACCGGACCAAAGAAGATCCTTTTGGGCTCCCTTACTTCCCTCAGTATACGCATCAGCTCAGCCTGAAGTGGGGTGAGGAGCTCCAAAATGACACGACCCCTGTTGTCAAGACTCTCCCGAGGGGCAGGATATGTTTCCAGGCTCAAATTGCTCAGCCTGCCTGTGTGGCGCAGCAGGTCCTTCAGAGCATCCATGGACGTGTCATTGCCGTGAAAACAGAAAGTGGTGAGGTTGGAGCAGCGGCTCAGGGCAGGCAGGATGACCCTGAGTTTGGAGTACCCAATCCCACAGTCCACTAAGAAGAGGGTCTGAAGAGTGGCAGCAACTTTCTCTAGCAGAGCTCGGAGGGGCTCAAGACGGATGAAGCGCAGTGCACCATGACTCAGATTCAGCTGCTTCAGTTGACTGAGACTTGGGTACCGGGGCAGGCATTTCAAGTCCTCTTCTTCTAGGAAGCCATAAGTTAATGCCAATGTCTCCAACGGGCTCCTGAGGCACCTGGGGAGAGCAAGAAGTTAGTACTGGGCAATGGCACCAGTTAGAGGACGGTGGTAGAAAATAACGTCAAGGGAAGAGCCTGTTTTGCCCAAACACAAGTTTGTTCTCATCATCTAATCATGGTCCTCCCGCAAGGTGCTGCCTGATGAGGACTTGGATCATTCAGAGGCAGTCCCATTTTAGGCTCAGTCCTTTCACCATCACTGGTGTGATTGGTTCAAGGCCATAAAAACTCTAAAGCCTTTTTTCTTCATCTTCCAGCAGAAAGCTTCATCTCTGGGCCACAGGAGCCCAGTGGAAGAGATGCCCAAAGAACTGACCTGAGCAAGGTCTAGGGACATCAGCTAGGGCTACCTGCTTTCAGAGGCTCCCTGACATGGCCACATCTGCAAACCACCTGTCACTTTGTACCACTCTCGTGCCTACTCCCTCACCTCCATCCCAGAAGCACGCATTTCCCATGTCACTTACCTTTCCTGGAGTTCAAAACAACCTTTTACAGACAGGGAATCAGAGAGAGGATCATTCATGTTCACTAAGCTGTGAGGACAGAGCTTCCTCTGTGAAACGCACAGGTTTGGTGCACTTTCTCTTCTTTTACACCCTCCCCTCTGTTGCCTCTTTTTTATCATATTAACTTTAAACACACTTCCTAACAAGGAATTCCTAAAAGGAATTCACCCTCACTAGAGCTGAACCCTCCACTAACCAGCTCCCTACACGATGTCCCTCTCTGTAGCTTCTACCCCAGGTCATCCCTCTGCCCTTACTGGAGCGATCCTGTGATACCCACTTCAGGATATAGAGCACCAAACAGGACAATGCATTCTAGTGTCCCCTTCCCTAGACATCTCCAGTGGCTGGCACACAGTAGATGCTGATTGGTGTTTATTGTAACAAAAAAAGGCTGTGCTATGGCCCCCAGAGAAAGCTCACCATCCTTCCTCACCTGATCAGCTGGTCCAGGTGGCCTCTGAAGAAGCAGACCCTTCTTACATAAAGCATCTGGAGGTTCTCCAGCCTGAGGAGCACAGAGCTGAATTCAGCAACTAACTGTTCTTGGCTGTCAGAGCTTAGCAGGTAACGACAGCCATCAGAGATGAAGAGTTTGCGAAGATTCCTCATCTGGCTCAGGTAACGGCTAAACTCTACTATCATACACAGCCAGCACATGTTCCAAATTTCCAACACTTGGATACTGTCTGGGTATACTGTTTCCAATATGTTTCTGAAATTTAGAATGCTCATTGAATAATTCACCACCTTAGTACAGCACAGGTGTACTGAACCTCTTCTGTGCTGCACCCACCCAGAGAAGAAGCTCAGATCTTCATCCATGAATTTTTCCTTGAGGCAAACATCCATGAACACCTTCAAGGGCTGCTTCTCTCCTGTCCTTGGACAGTCCTCCACTGTCTGTCTCTTACTCATGGCCTCTGGGGAGCAGGACAGGAGCCTGGCTCCAGACCATATGGTCCAAAAATTCTCATCAACATCCCGCATTTCCAGCACTTGAAGTTTCCACCTCCTGTGAGTAACATAGGGGAAAAGCTCAGAACGTAGACAAGGACCCACCCCTGACCTGGGCTTTCACTCCACATCAAGGACTTCAGCTGCTTTTTTCCTCAGCGCCCCTCCTTCTGTCTCTTCTCCATCCCTTTCCCCCTTGGATTCTGCCTGGTACCCACTTCTAGTGCCTTTACCTTCCACTGGGAGCAGGCAGGTTCCTGTTTCCTCAGTGGACCCTGTATGGTGAGCAGTCCTTTCCCAGAGGAGCTGGGCAATAGCCAAGAACGTTCCCAGCTTTCTCACTGGCACCATCAGAAGCCCCTGGGCCACCCCGGGTTCCCAATTTGTCTGACCCAGCTGTTTAGTCCCTGGACACCTGGGCCCTCCCCACCTGGGTCACCTCACCTGGGGCGAACCTTTTGGGCAAGCAGGCAATCAATCCCATCCACTACATAATGTAAGATCTCCAGATCAGGCGTCTTCATCAGGGACCCCAGAGGGAGGCAGGGGAAGGGCCAGGCCTGCACCATCACCTTCAGAACCTCGCAGCGTCTGCTAGTGAAGGCCTCCACGAACAGTGGGGGGAAGAGCTCCCTGGGCAGCTCATCCAGGACGGAGATGGCCAAGGCCTGGTCCCTCAGCAGGCTCTGCCCTGCCAGCTCCAGGAGTCTGCGTGGGGCCTGGAAGCTCATCCTGATAAATCTGCAAGAAAACAAATCCAGAGAAGACAAACTTATCAGGCCAGTCCTCTCACACCCTGACTTCTCCTGGGCCAAAAGTCACTACTCTGGCAGGTGTGAAAGTCCTTAGTTTACCCCAATTCGACTCTGCAATAATTGGCCACAGAGACATAGTTCTGCCCTTCTGGTACCAAGAAGAGTGTCTCCCAACCTCCAAGGAACGGGCAAGATCACTCCTACTCCATGAATTTTCATTAATTTCTCCACCCAACTCTATTAGCTCTGGGAAGTGTTACCAAGAATCTTCAAAGCTCAGCTCCTTTTTTGAGAAAAAAATGTCTTCTCAATTTAAGGATCTAAAGCAATGGTCATGTGGCTGGGCTTGGTGGCTCACAACTGTAGTCCCAGCACTTTGGAGGCCAAGGCGGGTGGCTCACTTGAGGTCAGGAGTTAGAGACCAGCCTGGCCAACAAGGTGAAACCCAGTCTTTACTAAAAACACAAAAAGTAACCAGGCATGGTGGCAGGTGCCTGTAACTCCAGCTACTCGGGAGGCTGAGGCACAAGAATCACTGGAACCCAGGAGGCGGAGGTTGCAGTGAGCTCAGACAGTGCCACTGCACTCCAGCCTGGGCAATAGAGCGAGACTCAGTCTCAAAAAAATAAATAAATAAAATAAAACAATAAAACAATGGTAATGGGAGTCTCCTGTGGCCCCAAACAGTCTACAGTCTCAGTTCCCACAGTGAACTTGGCTGGGAGAGACTAAAGGGATATTTTTAATTAGACACCATTATGTTCACTTTCAAAAGAGTAATGAGGGGCCACACATGGAGGCTCACAGCTGTAATTCCAACACTTTGGCAAGCCAAGGCAGAACAATCACTTAAGCCCTGGAGTTGCTGACCAGCCTGGGCTACATAGTGAGACCCTGTCTCTCCAAAAAAATACAAAAAATAGATGGATGTGATGGCGCACACCTGTAGTCCCAGCTGCTCTGCAGGCTGAGGTGGAAGGATGGCTTGTGTCTGTGAAGCAGAAGTTACAGTGATCTGAGACTCTGCCACTGTACCCCTAGCCTGGGCAGAACAGCAAGACTCTGTCTTAATAAAATAAATAAATAAATAAAATATTACCCACTTTGGAATGGAGTCTAGAGAAACAAATGGATCCCACATTCAGAACAAAGACTCCATTCTTGAAAATGGTGTATGAGACCAGTCATGTTGGCTCATGCCTGTAATCCCAAGACTTTAGGAGGCAAAGTGGGAGGTTTGCTTGAATCTAGGTGTCCCAGACCAGCCTAGGTAACAAACCAAGACCTCATCACTATAAAAAATAATAATAATAGGCCTGGCACGGTGGCTCACACCTGTAATCTCAGCACTTTGTGAGACTGAGGCGGGCAGATCGCCTGAGTTTGGGAGTTTAAGACCAGCCTGGCCAACATAGTGAAACCCTATCTCTATTAAAAATACAAAAATTAGCCAGGTGTGGTGGCACACACCCACAGTCCCAGCTACTTGGGAGGCTGAAGCAGGAGAATCACTTGAACCCGGGAAGCAGAATTTGCAGTGAGCCAAGATCATGCCTCTGCACTCGAACCTGGGCAACAGAGTGAGACTCTCTCTCAAAAAAAAAAAAAAAAGAAAAAAACAAAATCAAAAAAATTAGCCAGTTATACTAGTGCATGCCTGAATTCCAGCTATTCAGAAGGCTAGAACTTCTGAGTAGGGAGGATGGCTTGAGCCCAGAAGGCAGAGGTTGCAGTGAGTCGAGATCACAATACTGCATTCCACCAAGAATGACGCAGGAAGACAATGTCTCAAAGAAAAAAAAAAAAAGACTTCAGTCAATTGCATTATTTTTCAACTGCTTGATTTGGAACTCTGAAGCTGGGCATGGTGGCTCACACCTATAATCCCAGCACTTTGAGAGGCCTAGGTGGGCAGATCACGAGGTCAGGTGTTCGAGACCAGCCTGGCCAACATGGTGAAACCCTGTCTCTACTAAAAATACAAAAATTAGCCGGGCATGGTGGTGGGCACCTGTAATCCCAGCTACTCAGGAGGCTGAGGCAGGAGAATTGCTTGAACTTAGGAGGCAGAGGTTGCAGTGAGCCGAGACCTCATCATTGCACTCCAGCCTGGGTGACAGAGCAAGACTCCATCTCAGAAAAAAAAAAAAAAAACATTTGAAATGACATAAACTAAACACAAATAAAATATTTGGAGTGAAGAGATAAAACTGCATTAGAGAAAAAATTAAAGCCTACATCTGTTCATCTGAAAAACAGGCAAGAAAATTCTCTGTGCCACCTTGGCCTTCATGTCGCCCTCTACTGGCTGACTGTGGGTCATAGGAGTGCCCTTGTGAAGGTACCTGACTTACCAGATCTGGACTCACTTTGCAGTCTGCTCGGACCTCTTGGAGAATCAAGCAATAACTCCAGGTACCACAGCTTGGGGTTTCTTCTGTGGATGTTCACAAGCTTTCTTGGACCTTTCTGTTTTTTTGAGATGGAGTTTTGCTCTTGTTGCCCAGTTTGGAGTAAAATGGCGTGATCTCGGCTCACCGCAACCTCCACCTCCTGGATTCAAGTGATTCTCCTGTCTCAGCCTCCAAAGTAGCCGGAATTACAGGCATGCGCCACCACACCTAGCTAATTTTGTATTTTTAGCAGAGATGGTGTTTCACCATATTGGCCAGGCTGGTCTTGGGAACTCCTGACCTCATGACCCACCCTCCCCCTCAGCCTCCCAAAGTGCTGGATTACAGGCATGAGCCACGGCTCCCAGCAACTTTCTTGGACTTTCCTAATCCCACCTCCTTTATCAACTTCCAGATTCCTATCAGAAAGTGATGCCTGATGGGATTTCTGAATTCCACCCAGTTAAGCCTGATTGAAGTTTTGGCTTTCTGCAGAATAATGGATTGAATCAGATATCCAATCATGAAACTGAAAGCACTGTAATTAGGGTGGAAGTCAAGAACTCATTTTGATGATTTTGATGTCACCAAAGAACTCCCAACCATAATATTTTCCGGTTTTGCTTTTCTGTCTAATCTCAGGAATAGGTTGAACCCTTCCCTGTCTTCCACTCAGGACTAGGAAGGTCACATATTACTACCACTCCATCTCTGCTTCTGGAGGGCATTAATGAGTGAATTCTTGACTTCCACCCTAACAAACACTGATGGAATTTACCAGTATGTGACCTTCTTTGTCCTGAGTGTGAGACAGGGAACTCTCACTCTGTTCCTGACATTAGAGAGAAAAACAAAACCTAAAAAGATTAATGTTGGGGAAATCTTTGGCCCCATCAAAATTATCAAAATGGGCCAGGCGCGGTAGCTCATGCCTGTAATCCCAGCACTTTGGGAGGCCCAGGCGGTGGATCACGAAGTCAGGAGATCGAGACCATCCTGGCCAACATGGTGAAACCTTGTCTCTACTAAAAATACAAAAATTAGCCGGGTGTGGTGGTGGGCGCCTGTAGTCCCAGCTACTCAGGAGGCTGAGGCAGGAGAATCACTTGAACCCAGGAGGCGGAGGTTGCAGTGAGCCAAGATCATGCCACTGCACTGCAGCCTAGGTGACAGAGAGAGACTCTGCCTCAAAAAGCAAAACAAAACAAAATTATAAAAGGTTTCAGCCAGGCACTGTGGCTCACACCTATAATCCCAGCACTTTGGGAGGCTGAGGCGGGTGGATCACGAGGTCAGGAGATCGAGATCATCCTGGCTAACACTGAAACCCTGTCTCCACCAAAAATACAAAAAATTAGCCAGGCATGGTGGTGGGTGCCTTTATTCCCAGCTACTCCAGAGGCTGAGGCAGGAGAATGGCAAGAACCTGGGAGGCGGAGCTTGCAGTGAGCCAAGATCGCACAACTGCACTCCAGCCTGGGTGACAGAGCAAGACTCAGTCTCAAGATAAATAAATAAATAAATAAAAATAAAAATATTTCAGAGTTTAAACTTTATAAGCCAGGTGCGGTGGCTCAAGCCTGTAATCCTGGCACTTTGAGAGGACAAGGTAGGCAGATCATGAGGTCAGCAGTTCGAGACCAGCCTGGCAAATACGGTGAAACCCCGTCTCTACTAAAAATACAATAATTAGCTGGGCATGGTGGGATGCACCTCTAGTCCCAGCTACTCAGGAGTCTGAGGCAGAAGAATCACTTGAACCCGGGAGGTGGAGGTGGCAGTGAGCCAAGATCATGCCACTGCACTACACCCTGGGTGACAGAGGGAGACACCATCTCAAAAAAAAAAAAAAAATCAGTGAAGCATGGTGGCACACACCTGTGGTCCCAGCTACTCTGGAGGCTGAAATGGGAAGATCCATTTTTTGATCCCCACGATGCAGAGGTTGCAGTGAGCCTAGATCAATCTATTGCCCTCTGGGCTGAGCGACAGAGCCTGTATCAAAAACAAAAACAAACAAAACAAAAAACAGCTTCATGAAGGCAGTGGTTTTATCCCTACAAAATTGAATTTAAATGTTCGTGTATATATTGGTCATTTGGGATTTAAGTTACCCATATGAGGAAATCGTATGCTCATTTGTGTGGAAGAGAGGTACCACTAAGGGTGTGATTGGTCTCAAGATTTTGTTCCAGGTTTCTCTGGAGGAAATCAGGTAACAATTACAAAGAGAAGTAAGGGTGGTGGCTGGGCTGGGCTGGGTTGGGCTTAGTGTTCCAATGGGACCTTGAGATTGAACCAAGGCATGGTCAATGTGTTGGGTTTTTGTGGGCATGAGGGAGACTCTTTCCAACATTGGCCAATGCCACCTTAACTGTGATCCTTATGGCCAAGGAGGATGCCTTCAGAACCACTTATGTAATCCTCCTTATTTTTCCTTTCAAAACCCTTGTCTTCCTTGACCTCCCTGAATAGTCTCACACCTATTCCCATTGCTTTGCTCATTTCATAAGAAAAAAATCCTTTTTTACTGAGTCTCTTTCTCTGTCTGTTAAGTACACCATATTTTTGTTGACACACAGATGAGTAACCCAGTTTTAGGGTGAGAAAGGGTCAAAGGATCCCATTCTCCACCAGTCGGAGGTAATGGGACGGTCATGGTTATTCTTCATCATAGCTACGTCTGCACATTGCCAGTGAAATCCTGCAGATCGGCCAGGCTTGGTGGCTCACACTTGTAATCCCAACACTTTAGGAGGCCAAGTCGGGAGAATCACCTAAGGCCAGGAGTTCAAGACCAGCCTGGCCAACATGGTGAAACCCCATCTCTACTAAAAAATATATACATATATATAAATTAGCCAGGTGTGTTGGGGCATGCCTGTAATCCCAGCTGCTTGGGAGGCTGAGGCAGGAGAATTGCTTGAACAAGGGAGGTGGACATTGCAGTGAGCCAAGACTGCACCATTGCACTCCACCCTGGGTGACAGAGTGAGACTCCATCTCAAAAAAGCAAAAACAAAAACAAAAACCTGCAAATCACAGTTGGCGGGCTTCCAAACCAACCATCTGGGGAAGGGCTTAGGATTCATGGCTTACATCCTGTCCCTGAGTAAATCATCTGATCATGAGCTTCTCAAACTCTTCAAGTACTGACAAAGGCTTCACCTTCTGACATTGAGAAGGACGCTGATTTGATTTTGATCATGAAGTTTAACTGTCTTGCACTTCAAGCATTTTGGCCTGTTCATTGTCAACCTTGGTCAATGATTGTAACCTCTGTGTTGTACCCATCACTGAAGGACAACTCAGCTATGAGGAGTCCCACTGCCTTCTACACTCTCTCATGAAAGCATTCCAACTTATAATAGACTTTGGAACACACCCACTTTGTTGCTGTATGTTCCTGGGTCAATTCTCACATTCAGCTTCCAATAAACTTGTATCAAATTATTTCTCCCTCAACAGCCTTAATTTCCATTGACACCAGATTGTGTGATTGTGGTTTAAATTGGGATAGAGGAGCAAGCATGGTGGTTAACACCAGTAATCCCAGCATTTGGAAAGCCAAAGTGGGCAGATTGTTGAGTCCAGGAGTTCAAGACCAGCCTGGGCAATGTGGCAAAACCTCATCTCTACAAAAAATACAAAAATTAGCTGGGCATGGTGGCATGCACCTGTACTCTCAGTGACTTGGGGGGCTGAGGTGGAAGGATCACTTGAGCCCAGGAGGCAGAGGTTGCAGTGAGCTGAGATCTGCCACTGCACTCCAGCCTGGGTGACAGAGTGAGAACCTGTCTTATAAATAAATGAATAAATAAATAAATAAATAAATAAATAAGGCTGGGCACAGTGGCTCACACCTGTAATCCCAGCACTTTGGGAGGTCGAGGTGGGTGGATCACCTGAGGTCGGGAGTTCAAGACCAGCCTGACCAACATGGAGAAACCCCATCTCTACTAAAAATACAAAATTAGCCGGGCGTGGTGGCACATGCCTGTAATCCCTGCTACTAGGGAGGCTGAGGCAGGAGAATCGCTTGAACCAGGGAGGCAGAGGTGTGGAGCTGAGATCACACCAATGCACTCCAGCCTGGGCAACAAGAGTGAAACTCCATCTCAAAAAAAATAAAATAAAATAAATACATAAATAAATAAATGTAGGAAGAAAAAGTATTTTAATGAATTAGATGAAGTAGCCATTGCATGCTATCTCCATTAAAGGATAAGTAGGTTCCTCTACAAAATGCCCTGATTATTGATGCATCTAATAAACCAAACTATTGGCCGGGCGCAGTGGCTCACGCCTGTAATCCCAACACTTTGGGAGGCCAAGGTGGATGGATCACTAGGGCTCAGGAGTTTCAGACCAGCCTGGCCAACATGGCAAAACCTCGTCTCTACTGAAAATACAAAAAATTAGCCAGGTGTGGTGGAGAGCACCTGTAATCCTAGCTACTTGGAGGCTGAGGCAGGAGAACTGCTTGAACCCAGGAGGCAGAGGTTCCAGTGAGCCAAGATCATGCCATTGCTCTCCAGCCTGGGCAACAGAGTGAGACTCTGTCTCAAAAAAACAAAAACAACACAAACAAACAAAAGAAGCTATTATTTATTTCATATAGTAGAACTGTAGAGACAATCCCTTTGCCTCTCATGTTTCCATTAAACCAATGTCTAGTTTTTTAGTTTTTTGTTTTTTGGGTTTTTTATTGAGACGGAGTCTTGTTATGTTACCCTGGCTGGAGTGCAATGGCACCATCTCAGCTCACTGCAACCTCTGTTTCCCAGGTTCCAGCGATTCTCCTGCCTCAGCCTCCCAAGTAGCTGGAATAACAGGCACTCGCCATAATGCCCAGCTGATTTTTTTGTATTTTTTGTAGAGACGGAGTTTCACCACGTTGGCCAGGCTGGTCTTGAACTCCTGACCTCAGGTGATCTGCCTGCTTCGGCCTCCCAAAATGCTGGGATAACAGATGAGAGCCACTGTGCCCGGCCACCAATGTCTGGTTTTAGTAAGACGTTGATTACGTAGTAGAGGGTAACATGATCATGCTCATGTATTGTTTCGTTTTGTTTTGTTGTTTTGTTTTGTTTTGTTTTGCTTTGTTTTGTTTTGCTTTGATTGAGACAGAGTCTCACTCTGTTGCCCAGGCTGGAGTGTAGTGTTGCCATCTCGGCTCACTGCAACCTCTACCTGCTGGGTTCAAGCGATTTTCCTGGCTCAGCCTCCCAATTAGCTGGGATTACAGGGGCCTGCCACTACACCCAGCTAATTTTTCTTGTACTTTTAGTAGAGATGGGGTTTCACCATGTTGACCAGGCTGGTCTTGAACTCCTGATCTCAAGTGATCTGCCCTCTTCAGCCTCCTAAAGTGCTGGGATTACAGGCATGAACTACTACCTCTGACTGTTGTTTTGTTTGTTTGTTTTTGTTTTTGTTTTTGTTTTATTTTGTTTTGTTTTTTGAGATAAGGTCTTCTTCACTCTGTTGCCGAGGCTAGAGTTCAGTGGCATAATCATAGCTCATAGCAGCCTTGAACTCCTGGACTCAAGTGATCCTTCTGCTGCAGCCTCCTAAGTAGTGGTCATGTTCTAATTTTATATCTATTTCCCTTACACATTGGCTTCCAATCTCCATAATGTGTGTCAAACCAAAGAGTCTGATTACAGAGGGAGTCTGGAACACTGCCTAGATCAACCCAGTTGCACTAAGGTTTTCTATGCACAGAAATAAATTTCCAGGCCCTGCTTGGTGGCTCACACCTGTTATCCCAGAACTTTTGGAGGCCGAGTCAGGCAGATTGCTTAAGCCCAGAGGCCAGGAGTTAGTGACCAGCCAGGGCAGCATGGTGAAACCCTGTCTCTACAAAAAAATAAAAAAACACAAAACCTAACCAGGTGTGGTGGCACACACCTGTAATCCTAGCTATTTAGGAGATTGATTTGGAGGATTGATTGAGACTGGCAGGTCAAGGCTGCAATAAGCCGTGATCGTGCCACTTCACTCCAGCCTGGGTTGCAAAACAAGACCCTGTCTCGAAAAAGGAAAACAAAAACAAAGATTAAAAAAAAAATGTTTACATAGCCAGCAATTGATTTGCTTAGTGAAAGAAGCTAAACTTTGAACAGTAGAACTTTGAGAATGTTCAGTTTGAGGCCAGGCACGGTAGCTTACACCTGTAATCCCAGCACTTTGGAAGGCCAAGGTGGGAGGATCACTTGAGGTACGGAGTTCGAGGCCAGCCTGGCCAACTTGGTGAAACCCCGTCTCTACTAAAAATACAAAAATTAGCCCGGCATGGTGGTGTAAACCAGTAGTTACAGCTACTTGGACGGCTGAGGCAGGAGAATCGCTTGAACCCGGGAGGCAGAGGTTGCAGTGAGCAGAGATGGTGCCACTGCACTCCAGCCTGGTGACAGAGGGAGACTTTATCTCATTTTTTTTTTTTTTTTTGAGACGGAGTCTCGCTCTGCTGCCCAGGCTGGAGTGCAGTGGCGCAATCTCGGCTCACTGCAAGCTCCGCCTCCCAGGTTCACGCCATTCTCCTGCCTCAGCCTCCCAAGTAGCTGGGACTACAGGCGCCCGCCACCACGCCCGGCTAATTTTTTGTATTTTTAGTAGAGGCGGGGTTTCACTGTGTTAGCCAGGATGGTCTCGATCTCCTGACCTCATGATCCACCTGCCTCTGCCTCCCAAAGTGCTGGGATTACAGGCGTGAGCCACCGCGCCCGGCCGGGGGACTCTATCTCAAAAAAAAAAAAAAAAAATTCAGTAGTAAAACTTTTGGTTAGCAGGGCACGGCTGCTCACGCCTGTAATCCCAGCACTTTGGGAGGCCGAGGCGGGCAGATCATGAGGTCAGGAGATCGACACCATCCTGGCTAACATGGTGAAACCGCATCTCTACTAAAAATAGAAAAAAAATTAGCCAGGCGTGGTGGCAGGTGCCTGTAGTCCCAGCTACTCAGGAGGCTGAGGCGGGAGAATGGCATGAACCCAGGAGGCAGAGCTTGCAGTGAGCCAAGATCATGCCACTGCACTCCAGCCTCGGTGACAGAGCAAGACTCCGTCTCAAAAATAAAAAACAAAAAAAAACTTTCGGTTAGTGTAATCTAGTCTTCCCTGTAGATGTAGCTAATTTTATTTTATTTTTATTATTATTTTTATTGAGACAGAGTCTTCCTCTGTCTGCCAGACCGGAGTACAATGGTGCGATCTCGGCTCACTGCAACCTCTGCCTCCTGGGTTCAAGTGATTCTCCTGCCTCAACCTCCCTAGTAGCTGGGAATACAGGCATGCACCACCATGCCCAGCTTCTTTTTGTACCTTTAGAAAAGAAGGGGTTTCACCGTGTTGGCCAGGCTGGTCTCGAACTCTTGACAAGTGATCCACCCGCCTCGGCCTCCCAAAGTGCTGGGATTACAGATGTGAGCCACCGTGCCCAGCCTGATTTAGCTAATTTTAGTTTCAAGATACCATTTGTTCATTCAACCTTTGTAGAAGGCTGAGAAAAACAAGGGCAATGGTAGTGCCACTAAATTTGTAAAATCTTCTTTAAGTGTTTGATAACCTGTCCAGTAAAGTGTGTTCCTGAGACAGGATTGTTCCCTTGACTTTGACCTTCTTCATGGGCAGGAACTAGAGTGGTTTGTTTCACTCCGGCTGCAGTCTGTGGATGGCTGAGTGTGAACAGCTCAGTGTATGGTCAGAGTGACAGCTTCCCGCACCTGCCCTTTTTGACACTCAAGTTCTTATTCGGTGTAAAGGAAGAACCAGGTCACATTAGCTATTTAAAGAGTAGCATAAGTGAAGGATTTTATTGGGTGATAAATGTGGCTCTCAGTGGAAAGGGGAGTTAGAAAGGGGATGGTGCTGCCAGGCGCAGTGGCTCAAGCCTGTAATCCCAGCACTTTGGAAGGCTGTGGGAGGCTGAGGCAGATGGATCACCTGAGGTCAGGAGCTCGAGACCAGCCTGGCCAACATGGTGAAACCCCATCTCAAATAAAAATGCAAAAAAATTAGCTGGGCGTGGTGGCGGGTGACTGTAATCCCAGCTACTTGGGAGGCTGAGGCAGGAGAATCTCTTAAGCCCAGGAGGCAGAGCTTGCAGTGAGCAGTGAGCTGAGATCACGCCACTGCACTCCAGCCTGGGCAACAGAGTGAGACTCCGTCTCAAAAAAAAAAAAAAAAAGAAAGGGGATGGTGCAGCAAGAAGGTGATCTTCCCCTGAAGCCACACCATCTGAAGTTAGCTGCATCTCTCTGTAGGCTTTAATGCTCATCTGCTTGTATCCCCAACGTTCAGCCACTTGTATTCCGATGCTCAGCATCTTGCATCCCCAACCACTTGCAGCAGCCGCTTGTGTTGCTCTGCCAGCTGGTCTTTTTATGGGCCCAGGATAGGGTGTGAGGAAGGCCAAAAGGGCAATCATTTGGGCAGAAAAATGGGGTTAGCTGTTTTCACTTAGGGCCGAGTTTCCAGGATTGAGGGTGGGTTTAGTTGGGAGCCCAGCTGTTCTGAATCATTTCCTTATTGCTGGCCAACAAGGTAAAACCCTGTCTCTACCGAAAATTAGCTGGGTGTGGTGGGGGATGCCTGTAGTTCCAGCTACTTGGGAGGCTGAGGCAGGAGATTCCTTGAACCCAGGAAGCAGAGGTTGCAGTGAGCTGAGATCGTGCCACTGCACTCCAGCCTGGTGACAGAGCAAGACTCCGTATCCAAAAAAAGAAGAATGGGCACACAGATGCCTCAACATTTGGCAACTGAGGGACTTTTCCTCCTGGGTCATTATCCATCCATTCCAATTATGGAAAAATTCCTGCTTTCTAGAGCATTAAAGGAGAATCACCAAGAGGATATCAAGACAGGTGGTGATAAAGCCTTTTGGGTATAGTTGTTCTCACTATTGGGTTTATGCAAATGGAGATATGATAAAGACTTTTTTGGCCACTTTAGGACAGATTACAAAAGAAACCACAAAAAAATGCTGTGGGACACAGAAGTCTCTAAATTCCTTACCTTAAGTGGTTTCAGGGAAATGTTTATGTTTATAGCTAATTGCTACAAGTCTAACTAAAACCAAGGTTGCAGTAGCTCAATGCATAGAACTTATAGATAAGTCCATTTTTGTAAGCTTGCTTTTTGGCTTTGGTTTTAGGCTTATGTTGCCTAAAAGGTTTTAAGTGTTGATGCATGCCTGCCCACCGCCACGCTCATCTGGCCTAGGATGCTTTAATTGGCTGTAAGTCTTTTGGCTCTGAATCTCACGTCCATAGGAGTCCCACCTAGGGGCTGGGTGGACCAAGGCAGGTAGCTCCGCCACCCTGTCATCCACATGAGACAAATTAAAACTTTGGCCATTGATGCTGCTTCTGGCATATCCTGATGAACAGGGGGGAAAATGAGAAATAACAGTGAATTTCTAAGCCCCCTAACTGAAGAAACAGACCCCCTGTTGGTCAAGAGGAAACCCCAGTTATCCTTGAAAACTGAGTTCTCAAGGAGAACGAGATGTTGGGCGGGGGGGGTCCACAAGCTTCACTATACCCCCTCCCTTGCTAACCACCATTAGCCTTTCTTCCTTAAGGGTCAAACAGAAACCAGCTCTTTAAGAATCTACCACTCATAGCAACCAACTGCCTGATGCTGCTTCTCCTGTCAGAGTGGCCATCCGACACTTGGCCACTCTTTTTTTTTTTTTTTTTTTTTTTTTTGACACGGAGTCTCCTTCTGTCGCCCAGGCTGGAGTGCAGTGGCGCCATCTCGGCTCACTGCAACCTCTGCTTCCCAGGTTCAAGTCATTCTCCTGCCTCAACCTCCCAAGTAGCTGGGATTACAGGCGTGGGCCACCATGCCCAGTTGATTTTTGTATTTTTAGTAGGGACAGGGTTTCAACATGTTGGCCAGGCTGGTCTCGATCTCCTGACATCAGGGTATCCACTCACTGGGATCAGGTGCTGGAATTCCAGCTGTGAGCCACCTTGCCTGGCCATGGCCACCTTTTATGAAAAATAAAGCTCTCCCTTCCAAACTTAAAATAAATAAGTAGTAAAATAAATGATACATACCAACAGAACACTGTATATAGTAAATACACACATATAATATGTATGCAGTTGAAAAATATAATAGTAATGTTGACAAAAAGAGTCAAACTCTGTAATATATGTGAAGAGATTTATTCTGAGCCAAATATGAATGACCATGGCCCATGACACAGCCCTCAAGAGGTCTGGAGAGGCTGGGCGCAGTGGCTCATGCCTGTAATCCCAGCACTTTGGGAGGCCGAGGCAGGCGGATCACGAGGTCAGGAGATCGAGACCATCCTGGCTAAAATGGTGAAACCCTGTCTCTACTAAAAATACAAAAAAAAATTAGGTGGGCATGGTGGTGGGCGCCTGTAGTCCCAGCTACTCGGGAGGCTGAGGCAGGAGAATGGCGTGAACCCGGGAGGCAGAGCTTGCATTGAGCCGAGATCGTGCCACTGCACTCCAGCCTGGGTGACAGAGCAAGACTCCATCTCAAAAAAAAAAAAAAAAAAAGAGGTCTGGAGAACACGTGCCCAGGGTTGTTTGGGGCGCAGGTTGGTTTTATACAGTTTAGGGGTACATGAAACATCAATTAAATACATCTAAGAAATATATGGCCAGTCCCCCTGGTTCTGTGGCTCACGCCTGTAATCCCAGCACTTTCAGAGGTTGAGGTGGGTGGATCATTTGAGGTCAGGAGTTCGAGACCAGCCTGGCCAACATGCTGAAACCCCATCTCTACTAAAAATACAAAAATTAGCCTGTCACGGTGCTACACACCTTTAATCCCAGCTACTCAGGAGGCTGAGGCAGAAGAATTGCTTGAATCTGGGAGGTGGAGTTTGCAGGGAGCTGAGATCACACCACTGCATCCCAGACTGGGTGACAGAGCCAGAATCCATCTCAAAAAAAAAAAAAAAAAAGAAAGAAAGAAAAAAGAAATACATGGCTGGGTGAGTGGTGGCTCACGCCTGTAATCCCAGCACTTTAGGAGGCCGAGGCGGGTGGATCATCTGAGGTCAGGAGTTAGAGACCAGCCTGGCCAACATAGTGAAACCCCGTCTAATTTTTGTAAAAATACAAAAATTAGCCAGGTGTGATGGTGTGTGCCTGTATTCCCAGCTACTCGGGAGGCTGAGACAGGAGAATTACTTGAACCTGGGAGACAGGGATCGCAGTAAGCCAAGAGCAAACCACCGCATTTCAGCCTGGGTGACAGAGTGAGAATCTGTGTGAAAGAAAGAAAGAGAGAGGGAGAGAGGGAGGGAGGGGGAGAGAGAGAGAGAGAGAAGAAAAGAAAAGAGAAGAGAAGAAAAGAAAAGAAAAGAAAAGAAAAGAAAAGAAAAGAAAAGAAAAGAAAAGAAAAGAAAAGAATTACATTGGTTTGGCTCAGAAAGGAGAGACAACTGAAGGGTCGGGGGCTTCCAGGCTATAGGTAAATTTAAACATTTTCTGGTTGACAATTGGTTGAGTTTGTCTAAAGACCTGGGATCCATAGAAAGGAAATGGTCAGGGTGAAATAAAAGATTGTGGAGACCGAGGTTCTTTTGAAATCTCATAGTGGCCACCCTTCGAGACAACAGATGACAGATGTTTGCTATTCAGACCCTTAAAATTACCAGACAGTCCATCTCTTCAGGACTGGGAGGGCCTGCAAGAAAAAGATCTAGCTGTGTTAATAGAGATTCTTTACAGATGCAGATTTTCCCCCATAAAGGACAGCTTTGCAGGGCCATTTCAAGATATGGCAAAGAAACATGCCTTGGGGCAAAATATCTTGACTTTCTCCTCTGTCACAGGATGTTATGCCAGAGTCAGATTGGAAAGTAAGTCACCATATACAGGGCTAAAAAAACTCATCTGATGGGAATTTATGATTTTGGGGCATGACTCTGTAGACTCCTTAGGAATTTGGGCAAGATAAAAAATTCAGACCTTAGTCCTCAGTAAAATGAAGGCATATGTACCTTCCACCCACTTTAGGGCCACCTGTCTCTCCACTCTTCTCCTTCCAATCCCATCCACCTATGTGTCTTCCAACAATTTATAAAAGTGACCAAAGGGACAATGAAAATGGTTTTAACATTTGAATATCAACCAAACATGCATGATTGGGCCACGTGCAGTGGCTCACGCCTGCACTCCCAACAACTTTGGGAGGCCGAGGTGGGCAGATCACCAGAGATTACAAGTTCAAGACCAGCCTGGGCAACATGGGAAACGCTGTCTCTAGTAAAAATACAAAAATTAGCCAGGCGTGATGGTGCACATTTGTAATCCCAGCCACTCAGGAGGCTGAGGCAGGAGAATTGCTTGAACTCAGAAGATGGAGGTTGCAGTGAGCCGAGATCACGCCACTGCACTCCAGCCAGGACCACAGAGCGAGACTCTGTCTCCCCCCCAAAAAAAAAAAAAAAAAATTCAACAAACGTATTTAAACAAATAAATAGAATAAAAGCACCAGAAAATGATCATCTTAATTGATGTACGAAAAACATTTGAAAAAATTCAATGACTCATTCAGGATTTTAAAAATATTCTCAGCAAAATAAGAAAATAATTCCTCAATATGAATTGCTCAATGGGATTACAGGCACACACCATCCACCTTATCAGTCAGTCCCTTAGTAAATTCCATCAGTGTTTGTTAGGATTAGGGTGGAAGTCAAGAATTCATTCATTAATGCCCTCCACAGAGAATGAATTGTACTAATATGTGACCTTCCTTCCTATTTTTGAGTTTGAGACAGGGAAGGGTTCAATCTGCTCCTGAGATTAGACACAAAAACAAAACCTGAAAGCTTTATGGTTCAGAGAACTTTGGCTGGATCAACGTTATCAAAATGAATTCTTGACCTGCATTCTAATCCCAACACTTTCAATTTCATGATTGGATATCCAAGGGATTGAATGGACACCTGAATTCACAGGCTTAACTGGGTGGAGCTTCAGAAATCCAATCAGGCATCACTCTCTGATGGGAAGCTGGTGGTTGAAAAGGGGAGGTGTGATGAGAAAGGTTCAAGAAAGCTTGTGAGCACCCCCAGAAGAGACCCAGAGCTGTGGTGCCTGGAGTTACTTCTTGGTTCTCCACAAGATCCGAGCACACTGCAAAGTGAGTCCAGATCTGATAAGTCAGGGACCTCCACAAAGGGCACTCCTATGACCCACAGTCAGACAGTCAGGATGACGACACGGAGGTCAAGACGACACAGAGAATTCTCCTGTCTGTTTTTCAGATGAAAAGATGTAGGCTTTGATTTTTCCTCTAATATACTTTTATCTACACTCCAAATATATATCTACATATATATTTTTGTTTGTTTGTTTGTTATGAGACAGAGCCTCACTCCGTTGCCTGGGCTGGAATGCAGTGGCACGATCTCGGCTCATTGCAACTTCCACCTCCTGAGTTCAAGCAATTCTCCTGCCTCAGCCTCCCGAGTAGCTGGGACTACAGGCGCCCACCACCACGCCTGGCTAATTTTTTTTGTATTTTTAGAGAGACAGGGTTTCACCATGTTGGCCAGGCTGGTCTTGAACTCCTGACCTCGTGGTTCACCTGCCTCAGCCTCCCAAAGTGCTGAGATTACAGGCATGAACCACCACGCCCAGCCACTCTCCAAATATTTTATTTCTGTTTTAGTTTATGCCATCTCAAAGTTCTCTTTTATTTTATTTTTTTGAGACAAACTTGCTCTGTCACCCAGGCTGGAGTGCAGTGGTGCGATCCTGGTTCACTGCAACCTCCGCCTCCCGGATCAAGTGATTCTCCTGCCTCAGCCTCCCTACTATCTGGAATGACAGGCGCCCACCACTATGCCTGACTAAATTTTGTATTTTTTTTTTCCCATATTGCTTCAGGGCTTGATAAGCTTCTTTTTTTTTTTTTTTTTTTTTTTTTTTGAGACGGAGCGTCACTCTTGCGCTGGCTGCAGGGCAATGGCACTTTCATGCGCGTCCTTGTTAAGAGACCACCAAACAGGCTTTGCGTGAGCAATACGGCTGTTTATTTCACCTGGGTGCAGGCGGGCTGAGTCCGACAAGAGAGTCAGTGAAGGGAGATAGGGTTGGGGCCATTTTATAGGATTTGGGAAGGTAATGGAAAATTACAGTCAAAGGGGGTTGTTCTCTGGTGGGCAGGGGTGGATCTCACAAAGTACATTCTCAAGGGTGGGGAGAATTACAAAGAACCTTCTTAAGGGTGGGGGAGACTACAAAGTACCTTCTTAAGGGTGGGGGAGATTACAAAGTACATTGATCAGTTAGGGTGGGGCAGGAACAAATCACAATGGTGGAATGTCATCAGTTAAGGCTGTTTTTACTTCTTTTGTGGATCTTCAGTTACTTCAGGCCATCTGGATGTATACGTGCAAGTCACAGGGGATGCGATGGGTTGGCTTGGGCTCAGAGACCTGACAGGCACAATCTCGGCTCACTGCAACCTCCACCTCCCAGGTTCAAGTGATTCTCCTACCTCAGCCTCCCGAGTACTAGGATTATAGGCAACCACCATCACACCTGGCTAATTTTTGTATTTTTAGTAGAGATGGGATTTCACCATGTTGGCCAGGCTTGTCTCAAACTCCTGACTTCGTGATCCGCCCGCCTCGGCCTCCCAAAGTGCTGGGATTACAGGTGTGAGCCACCGTGCCCAGCCCTGATTTTGTATTTTTAGTAGAGGTAAGTTTTCACCATGTTGGCCAGGCTGGTCTTGAACTCCTGACCTCTCAAGTGATTAACCTGCCTTGGCCTCCCAAAGTGCTGGGATAATAGGCATGAGCTACTGGGCCCTGCCACATTTCAAAGTTCTTTTTTTTTTTTTCTCCAAGAAGGAGTCTCACTCTGTCGCCCACGTTGGAGTGCAGTGTCGCGATCTCAGCTCACTGCAACCTCCGCCTCCCGGCTTCAAGCAATTCTCCCGCCTCAGCCTCCCAAGTAGCTGGGATTACAAGGCACCTGCCACCATGCGCAGCTAATTTTTGTATTTTTAGTAGAGATGAGATTTTGCCATGTTGGCCACACTGCTCTCAAACTCCTCACCTCACTGCAACCTCTGCCCCCCACGCTCAACGGATCCTCCCTCCTCAGCCTTCCAAGTAGCTGAGACTCCCGTGATGGCTCACACCTGTAATTCCAGCAACCTTGAAAGGCCAAGGCAGCCAGATCACATGAGGCCAACTCCATCTCTACTTAAAATGCAAACATTAGCCGGGCATGGTGGTGCACACCTGGGTGACCCAGCAAGACTCTGCCTTAAAAAGGAAAAAAAAATGTATTTGTGCTTTGTTTTATGTCATTCCAAAATTCTTAACCAAAGAACTAAAAAAGAATCCAACTGGGCCAGGGACAGCAGCTCATGCCTGTAATCCCAGCACTTTGGGAGACCAAGGTGGGTGCATCACCTGAGGTCAGGAATTTGAGACCAGGCTGACCAACACAGTGAAACGCCTTCTCTACTGAAAATACAAAAATTAACTGGGCATGGTGGCACATGTCTGTAATCCAAGCTACTGAGGAGGCTGAGGCAGGTGAATTGCTTCAGCCCGCGAGGTGGAGGTTGCAGTGAGCCGAGATCATGCCATTGCACTCCAGCCTGGGCAATAGACTCCGTCTCAATTAAAAAAAAAAAAGAATCCAATTAATTAATGTCTGATTCCTTGACATTTAAAATTTGTAGATTGTGTGCTCTTAATTTGCAGTTTATAGACTATGTTATTATGATTTTAATTTCTTGAGACAAAGTCTCACTCTGTCACCCAGCTGTACTGCAGTGGTGTGATAATTGCCTCAGTGCAACCTCTGTCTCCTGTATTCAAGGGATCTTCTCACCTCAGCCTTCCCAGTAGCTGGGATTACAGACCCACACCATGAGGCCTGGCTAATTGTATTTTTAGTAGAGATGGGGTTGTACCATATTGCCCAGGCTGGTCTGGAACCCCTGGACTCCATGTAATCTGCCAGCCCTTAGCCTCCCAAAGTGCTGGGATTACAGGCAAGAGTCACCCCACCCAAGAATGCTATTGTGATTTTGAAAGATAGGCTTTGTTTTTTACTAAAATTATAAAGATATTCCTTCCACTATGTTCTATTAAATTTTTTTATAATGATGGGGTCTCGCTTTGTTAGCCAGGCTGGTCTGGAACACCTGGACTCAAGCAAACCCCCCACCTTGTCTCCTAAAGTCTTGGGATTACAGGCATGAGCCACCATGTCTGGCCCCATACACTATTTTCAAGAGTAGAGTCTTTGTTTTGAATGTAGGATCCATTTCTTCCCCTAGACTCAATCCCAAAGTGTGTTGTTATTATTATTATTATTATTATTATTATTATTATTATTATTATTACTTGAGACAGGGTCTTTCTCTGTTGCCCAGGCTGGAGTGTGGTGGCAAAATCTCAGATAACTGAAACCTCTGCTTCCCAGGCTCAAGCCATCCTCCCACCTCCATGTGCAGAGTAGCTGAGACTATAGGCATGTGCCACAATGCTCAGATAATTACTTAATATTCTAGTAGAGTCTAGTAGACATGGGCTATCACTATGTTGCCCTGGCTGGTCTGGAACTCCTGGGCTCAAGTGATTGTTCTGCCTTGGCTTCCCAAAGTGTTGGGATTACAGCTGTAAGCCGCCATGCTTGGCTTCCCTTTACTTTTTTTTTTTTTTTTTTTTTTTTTGAGACAGAGTCTCACTCTGCCACCCAGGCTGGAATGCAGTGGCTAGATTTTGGCTCACTGCAAACTCTGGACCTCGGGTTGAGAGATTCTCCTGCCTCAGCTTCCCAAGTAGCTGGGATTACAGGCAGGGACCACCACACCCAGCTAATATTTTGTATCGGTACAGATGGTATTTCACCATGTTGGCCGGGCTGGTCTCGATCTCCTGACCTCATGATCCGCCCACCTTGGGCTCCTAAAGTGCTGGGATTACAGGCATGAGCCACCGTGCCTGGCCAAGAAGACATTTTGTTTTCTCAAAAAAGTGGAGATCTGAGCTTCAAAGATCCTTGCTAACACTTCCCAGTGCTATCAGTGTAGTAGTGCAGTGGCTAATAATTCATGGACCCTATAGGAGGGATCTTGCCTGCTCTTTAGAGGTTGGGACACACTCTTCTTAGTACCAGAAGGGCAGAACTATGCCTCTGTGGCCACTTATTGCAGAATGGAATTGGAGTAAACTGAGGGCTCTTTCACACATGCTAGAGAAATGACTTTGGCCCTAGGAGAAGCGGGGATTGCAGGGGATTGGCCTGAGAAACTTGCCTTTTCACTGGATTGTCCTCTAGAGTTTTTCCTTGCAGATTTGTCAGAATGAGCCTCCAGTCCCCATCCAGACTCCTGGAGCTGGCAGGGCAGAGCCTACTGAGGAACCAGTTCTTGACCATCTTCATCCTGGACGAGCTGCCCAGGGAGGTCTTCCCTCTGATGTTCATGGAGGCCGTCAGCAGGAGACGCTGTGAGGCCCTGAAGCTGATGGTGCAGGCCTGGTCCTTCCTCCACCTCCCTCTGGGATCCCTGATGAAGACACCTCATCTGGAGACCTTGCAAGCTGTGCTGAAGGGACTTGATACACTGCTGGCCCAGAAGGTTTGCCTCAGGTGAGGTGACTCAGGTGGCCTGGTGGGAAGGGTCCAGGCATCCAGGGAAGGGACAGCTGGCTCAGGAGGAGTGGTGGGGTTGGGGAGCTAGGGTGGCTCAGAGGCTTCTGATGGTGCCCATGAGAGGCCTTGACCATTGCCCAGATCCTCTGGGAAAGGACTGCTCACCATACAGGGTCCACTGAGGAAACAGGAACCTGCTTTCTCCCAGTGGAACGTAAAGATTCTAGAAGTGAGAACCAGGCAGAACCCAAGGGGGAGCGGGATGGAGAAGAGACAGAAGGAGGAGCACTGAGGACAGGAGCAGCTGACTGATGTCCTGGATGTGGAGTGAAAGCTCAGGTCAGGGGTGGGTCCTTGCCTACATTCTGAGCTTTTCCCCTGTGTTACTCACAGGAGGTGGAAACTTCAAGTGCTGGATTTGCGGGATGTTGATGGGAATTTCTGGACCATATGGTCTGGAGCCAAGGTCCTCTCCTGCTCCCCAGAGGCCATGAGTAAAAGGCAGACAGTGGAGGACTGTCCAAGGATGGGAGAGTGCCAGCCCTTGAAGGTGTTCATAGACCGCTGCCTAAAGAAAAGTACACTGGATGAATGCCTGAGCTACCTTTGTGGGTAGATCCACTACAGAAGAGGTCTAGTGCACCTGTGCTGTAATAAGGTGCAGAATTACTCAATGCCCACTTCAAGTTTCAGAAATTTATTGAAAAGGGTATACCCAGACAGTATCTAGCAGTTGGAAGTTAGGAGAAAGTGCTCTCTGAATAAAACAGGAAAGTTTGCCCCTTACCTGAGCCAGATGAGCAATCTTCGCAAACTCTTTTTAGCCTTCGGTTATGACAGTGAGTTATATGTAAGCGGCCAACAATAGTTCGTTCCTGACTTGGACTGTCCATTCCTCTGCCTGTCCTACCCTCAGATGCTTTATATAAGAAAGGTCAATAATATCAAAGACCTGGAGCACCTGCTCAGGTAAGAAAGGATGGTGAGCTTTCTCTGCGGACCATACCACAGACTTTTGTTCTTTTTCACAGTAAACGCTAGTGGGCATCTACTGTGTGCCAGCCACTGGTGATGTCACAGGGAATGGGACGCTAGAATGTCAACTCATTATGCTGTTCAGTGCTCTATATCCTGAAGTGGGTATCACAAACCCGCTCAAATAAGGGCAGAGGGATGGCCCGGGCCAGATGCTACAGAGAGAGACATGCAGGGATCTAGTTAGTCAGGGGTTCAGATCTAGGGAGGGTGCATTTGTGAATTCCTTTTTAGGAAGTGCGTTTGAAGTTAATATGATGAAACTTACTCTTCATATAGAGGAGAGTATGAAAGAAGGGAAAGTGCATCAAACCTGTGCGTTTCACAGTAGAAGCTCCGTCCTCACAGCTTAGTAAACACCAATGATCCTGCCTCTAATTCTCTGTCTGTAAAAGGTTCTTTTGAACCCCAGGAAAAGTAGTTGACATGAGAAAAGCATGCTTCTTGGACAGAGGTGAGGGAGTAGGCAGGAGAGTGGTATAAAGTGATAGGTGGTTTGCAGACGCGGGCACGTCAGGGAACCTTTGCAGGCAGGTGGCCCTAGCTGATGTCCCTAGACCTTGCTCAGTTGAGTTCTTTGTGCACATCTCCCACTGGGCTCCTCTGGCCCAGAGATGAGGTTGTCTGCTGAAAGATGCAGTAAAGAGGCTTTAAAGATTTTGTGGCCTTGAACCAATCACACAAGCAAGGCTGAAAGGACTGAGCCTAAAATGGAGCTGCCCCTGAATGATCTGAGTCTTCATCAGGCAGCACCTTGCACACAGACCATCATCTGATGATGGGAACAAACTTGTGTTTGGGTGAAACAGGCTTCCCCATTGCAGTTACTATAACACCTGTGTGGTAGTAAGGTGCAGAATTACTCAATGCCCACTTCAAGTTTACCATTGAGATGATTTCCCACCCCTCTCCTCTAACTGGCACCATTGCCCATAACTAATTTCTTGCTCTCCCCAGGTGCCTCAAGAACCTCTTGGGGGCCTTTATATTCTGTCATGCTTACCTAGCTGATCGGGACATGGAGTGTCTGTCTCAGTACCCAAGCCTCAGTCAGCTAAAGGAGCTGCATCTGATTCATATCCTAATGTGGACCACCAATCTTGAGCCCCTTGGAGCTCTGCTAGAGAAAGTTGCTGCTACTCTTGAGACCCTCACGTTAAAGGACTGTCAGATCCAGGACTCCCAACTCAGGGTCCTCCTGCCTGCCCTGAGCCACTGCTCCCAGCTCACCACCTTCTACTTTCAAGGAAACGAGACTTCCATGAATGCTCTGAAAGACCTTCTGTGTCACACAGGTGGGCTGAGCAAGTTAGGCCTGGAGTTGTATCCTTCCCGTCTGGAGAGTCTTGACAACAGGGGTCATGCCAATTGGGAGATCCTTGCCCCAATTCGGGCTGAGCTGATGTGTACACTCAGGGAAGTCAGGCAGCCCAAGAGGATCTTTTTTGGTCCCGTCCCCTGCCCTTCCTGTGGCTCATGGCCATCTGAGAAAGTGGACCTCCATCTTTGCTCTTAGGGAAGGCCTGGCTAGTGGGATGGACACGTTTTCTTCTGGACCCTTGGGCACTAAAATCTAGGACACAGGTGCTTTTTTTTTTTGATGGAGTCTCACTCTGTCCCTCAGGCTGAAGTGCACTGGCACAATCTCAGCTCACTGCAACTTCCACCTCCCAGGTTCAAGTGATTCTCCTGCCTCAGCCTCCCTAGTAGCTGGTGTTACTGGCATGCACCACCACATCCAGCTAATTTTGTATTTTTTTTCTTTTTTTTTTGAGACAGAGTCTCGCTCTGTCACCCAGGCTGGAGTGCACTGGCACGATTTCGGCTCACTGCAACCTCCGCCTCCAGGGTTCACGCCATTCTCCTGCCTCAGCCTCCAGAGTAGCTGGGACTACAGGTGCCCACCACCACACCCAGCTAATTTTTGGTATTTTTAGTAGAGTCAGGGTTTCACCAAGTTAGCCAAGATGGTCTCGATCTCCTGACCTCGTGATCCACCCGCCTCGGCCTCCCAAAGTGTAATTTTTGTATTTTTAGTAGAGACAGGGTTTCACGATGTTGGAGGAGGCTGGCCTCAAACTCCTGACCTCAAGTGATCTGACTACCTTGGACTTCCACAGTGCCGGGTTTACAGGCATGAGCAGCCTGGCCCGGTCAGGTGCATCTTAAAGGAAGCACACGGTCATGTGTTTCAGGCACGTGCTGACTGTGAGTGGAAAAACAAAGGTGACTCAGCTGGGGGCAGGACTTGGTGAAAATGCTGACTTGGCATCAATAAAGCCTTCAGGGACCTGTTTCCTAGACTCGGAAATGGAACCTGAAGTTCTAGAATGATGCAGGAGTTACCCTCGCAAGGATGGTTATTTAAAAATGTCAAAAATAAATGGAACCTGAATGGAAACTTTCTGGTGTCTTCCATGATTGATCAACCTGTTTTAGCCATTTATATATCAGAAATCTCTAGTTACTGATGAGAGGTACTACGTCATCTGTGATTGAGGTTCAGCTGCAGCAAATCAAGGCATCAAAACTGAAATGTGATCATTTTGATTAGTTCTCACTCATTTTTTGCTTCCTTTCAGTCATCTGTTTCTTCCTTAATTTCTCCCATGCCTGTTCACTGGGTTCATTCACAAAGGATGCACACTTGGGGCCTGGAACATTCTGTGTGGGCAGTGATGATGAGCCACTGAAACCTACCCTCTTCTCAGGGGCCCTCACTGCTCCCCAGATACTGAGACCCTGCTCACTCCTAATGGACAGATCCAGAGGAATCCGTTCCTGATCTTTGGCCATGCCAGGAAATGGCTTCATTGGACCAGGAGTGAATTCACATGAAATTCACTGAAAGCTTCACATGAAGCTCAGAAAATTCCTGTGTTCAAAGCAGTCCAAATGACATTTGGACCATTTTTAGGAAAGTATGGCTTTTTATTAGGTGACAACATGGGGATGAGATTTGCTTTCTCCATTAAGGTGATACGTAAAGCTTTCTTTGAAGGGAGAGAAAACCCTAGAGTTTCCTGACCTTCCTTAACCTGAGCTGCTTGGTTCCCTAGAAGCAGAAATTGATCATATTAGAACCCAAACTCATACCAACCTTGACCTTCATGAAGTACTCAAGTGTTTCTGCTCTTCTTCCTCATGTGATGTAGAAAGTATTAAAAGTGATGAGTGTAGGCCGGGCACGGTGGTTCACACCTGTAATCTCAGCACTTTCAGAGGCCGAGGTGGGTGCATCACCTGTGGTCAGGAGTTCCAGACCAGCCTGGGCAACATGGTGAAACTCTGTCTCTACTAAAAATACAAAAACTAGCTGTGTGTGGTGGCCTGTGCCTGTAATTCCAGCTAACTGGGAGACTGAGGCAGGAGAATCACTTGAACCGGGAGGCAGAGGTTGCAGTGAGCTGAGATCGCACCATTGAACTCTAGCCTGGAAAACAAGAATAAAACTCCATCTCAAAAAAAAATTAATAAATAAATACATTATAAATAAATAAATTAATGCTTTAAAGAAAAAAGAAATAAATTTTGCCTACAAGTTTCATATGCAATTGAATACCTCTTAAATTTTGATGTGAACCGACCAGGCATGGTGGCTGAGGCCTGTAATCCAGCACTTTGGGAGGCCGAGGCAGGCAGACCACGAAGTCAGGAGATTGAGACCATCCTAGTTAATATGGTGAAACCCCGTCTTTACTAAAAATACAAAAAATTAGCCAGGTGTAGTGGCATGTACCTGTAGTCCCGGCTATTTAGGAGGCTAAGGCAGGAAAATTGCTTGAACCGGGGAGGCAGAGGTTGAAATGAGCTGAGATCGTGCCACTGCATTCCAGCCTGGTGACACAGTGAGACTCCATCTCAAAAAATAAATGAATAAAATAAATAAAAAAATAAATAAAAATACTGTGACAGGAACCAACATTGCTCAACTTGTACACTAATGTCTTACAAAATCCTTTCCTTGTCACCTTCAAATCTCCATTTCAAATGCTACACTCTGCATAACTCTACCACTTTGTTGCCATTTTCTGATGATGGAGAAGACCATATATGTGTGTGTGGCATCAGAACTATTGACTCCTCCTATTGATGTTTAAGATATTCCATTACACAAACCTGGGTTCATACTTTTTTGTTGATAGATCTTATGCCAAAAATGTAGGCGAAAAATGCCAAGCAGGAAATGCTATCACTTCTGAAGATGAATTCATAGAGATGGAAATTCTTTCAGAACTTATTTTTCCAGCTTTTTCCTTTGTTTGTTCATTTGTGTTTGTTTCCTTGTTTGTTTGTTTTGAGATGGAGTCTCGCTCTGTCACCAAGTTGGAGTGCAGTGGTGAAATCTTGGCTGACTGCAACCTCCTCCTCCTGAGATCAAGCGACTCTCCTGCCTCAGTCTCTCGAGTAGCTAGGATTATGGGTGGGCGCCACCATGCTCAGCTAATTTTTGTATTTTTAGCAGAGACAGGGTTTCACCATGTTGGCTAGGATGGTCTCAATTTTTTGGCATCGGGATCTACCTGCCTTGGCCTCCTGAAGTGCTGGGATAACAGGTGTGAGCCACCACCGTGCCCGGCCTTTTTTTTTTTTTCTTTTGAGATGGAGTCTCACTCTATTGCCCAGGCTGGGAATGGGACTCCTCCTATCAATTATTTTTTTAAATTTTCTTTTGTTTTATTGACCTGACAAGGCTCAAATAGAGTTGAGTTTTTGTTTTCGTTTTTTCCATTGGAAGAGACAATACAGAGGTTACAATCATTGGCTTTAGATGACAAGATAAAAGAATAAAACATATTCCTTGCAAGACAACCAGCAAAACTTCATGATCACCATCAAATCAGTGCCTTCTCACTGTCAGTGGGTGGAAGCCTTCATCAATACTTGCAGAGTTTGAGGCACTCATGAACTCACCATGAGATTCTTTACTCAGGGACAGGATGTAAGCCAAGCAAAAGACCTTCCACAGGTGGTGAATTTGGAAGCCTGCCCAATGTAACCTGCAAGTTTTCACTGGCAATATGCAGGTGCAGATATGACAAAGAATAACCATGACCTTTACATCACCCCCAGCTGTTGAGGAATGGGATCCTTTTGACCCTTTCTGTCCATAGAACCAGGTTGCTCATCTTGTGTGGCAACAACATATGTGGTCTACTTAACAGAGAAGAAGACTCTGTAAAAAAAATGTTTATTATGTAGTAAGCAAAGAAATGGGAATAGATGTGAGATTATTTGGGGAGATAAAGGAAGTTGAAGGTTTTGAAAGGAAAAATAAGGAGGATTATACAAATTGTTTTGAAAGACTCATACTTGGTCATGAGGATTAAAACCAAAAGCGCATCAGTGCAATGTTAGATAGATTCCTCTTACACCCACTCGATAACCCCCAACATGTTCAGCAAGTCTTGGTTCACTCCCAGGTTCCCATTAAAAACCCAGCTCAACCCTGACCAGCTCCACCCTCACTTCCATTTGTAATTTTGACATGACTTTATTACAGGACCATCAGGTTCCTATGCCTGCTGCACAGTAGCTTAGCAATATTCTGAGACAGCAGGGTTTGCAGCAGAGAGTTTAATGATCACAAGGTGGCTGAATGAGAAGCTAGGAGGAGATCCTCAAATTCATCTCCCCAAGGAGTACTGAGGGTTTCCAGTGGATCCTGGATAGCAAGGGGCCGGAAAGTTGGGGTAGCGGTAAGAGGGAAGAAGTCAACAGGATGTAGAAACTGCATTCTTTGGTGAGTTGGTGCATTGCAGGGCCCTTCAGATCAGCTGGCATCAGTAGATTCACTGACATGCAGAACCTGAAAGAATATCTCAGATGAAAAAGTTAATGTTTTACAATGCTTAAATGGTTGTCTGCAGGGAAGTTAAGGGGAACTGTAATCTAAGGTCTATATGATTTTGGAACAGTAGGTTGCCAGCAACCATGAGGAACCAGGTCAGAGAGCAAGAAGACCTCCTGATGAATGCTGAATGTGTTCCAAGCTTGGTTTATTTTTGTTTCTCTCCCTCCCTTCTTCACTGATTAAATTTATAAAGTTTATCGATGTGGCTTCAATTTCTTCCAAAGAAGACTTAACCTAAGCCCTGAGACCACTCACGCCCTCAGTGGCACCTCTCCTCCACCAGAATGAGCATGTAATCTGCTACCTTAGGTTATACAAAATCCCGAAGACCATTCAATACATTGAGATTTTTATTCTGATTTCCTAGGGACGACTCCTCTGTTTTTATAAAGCTTTTTAAAGTAGAAAGCATTTTTATATTTTGATGTGGCCAAAGATCTCCTAACAACACTACTTTCAGATTTTATTTTTCTGTCTAATGTTGGGAACAGATCAAATCCTTCCCTGCCTGTCACTCAAGACTATGAAGTTCACATATTAGTAAAATACCATCAGTGTTTGTGGAGTTCATGAATGAATGATTTTTTTATTTTTTGACAGAATGTCCCTCTGTCACCCAGACTGGAGTGCAGTGGCACAATTCTGGCTCACTGCAACCATTGCCTCCTGGGTTCAAGCAATTCTCCTGCCTCAGCCTCCCAAGTAGCTGGGTTTCAGGCACCTGCCATCATGCCCAGGTAATTTTTGTATTTTTGTATTTTTGTAGAGACAGGGTTTCACCTTTTTGACCTGGCTCGTCTTGAACCCCTGACATCAGGTGATCTACTCACCTTGTCCTTCCAAAGTGCTGGAATTACAGCTATGAACCACCTCACCCACCCTTGAATGAATGTATTCTTGACTTCTACCCTATCCCTACCACTGTCGATTTCTTGCTTCATGAAGTGAATATAGATATGTGATATGAATGGACATCTGATTCAATCCGGTAATCTGGGGAGAGCCAAAAACCCAATCAGGATTAACTGGGTGGAGCTTCACAAATGCAATCAGATATCATTTTTTGATTGGAAGGTAGCAGCGGATATGTGCAGGGGCGTGGGTGGGAGTTGTGATTAGAAAGGTCAATAAAAGCTTCTAAAGACGCACAGGAGAGACCCAAAGTCTTCAAGCCTGGAGTTCCTGCTTGGTTCTTCCTGAGGACTGAGCACCTTCTAGACTACATCCAGATCTGGTAAGCCACTAATTTCTGTAAGGACACTCCCATCTGACCTACAGTCAGTCGGTCTGGGATGGTGACAGTGCAGCCTACGATGGCACAGAGCTATATCCTGTCCTTTTTTTTTTCATATGAACAATTTGAAGCTTGAATGTTTTCCTCTAAATGCAGTTCTGTCTTTATTTCAAAAAAGTTGATTGTGCTTTGGTTGATGCCATTTTAAAATTCGTGAAGGGAGCAATGACTCATGTCTTTAACCCCAACACTTTGGGAGGCCAAAGTGGGAGGATCATTTCAGCCCAGGGGTTTGAGACCAACCTGGGCAACATGACAAAAGCCCTCCTCTACACAACGTTTTTTTTTTTTTGAGGGTGGGGATGGAGTCTCACTGTGTTGCCCAGACTGGAGTGCAGTGGCACGATCTCAAATCACTGCAACCTTTACCTCCCGGGTTCAAGCAATTCTCATGCCTCAGTCTCCATCCTCAGAAGCTGGTGTCACAGACATCTGAAACCATGCCTGGCTAATTTTTGTATTTTTAGTAGAGGTGGGGTTTCACCATGCTGGCCAGGTTGGTCTCGAACACCTGACCTCAAGTGATCCACCTGCCTTGGCCTCCCAAAGTGCTGGGATTACAGCTGTGAGTCACTGGTGCTTGGCCTCTACTTTTTTTTATTTTAATTAGCCGAGCATGGTGACATGCATCTGTAGTCCCAGCTATTTGGGTGGCTGGTGTGGGAGAATCACTTGAGCCCAGAAGATTGAGGCTGCAGTGAGCCATGCTCACACCACTGCTGTACTCCAGCCTGGGCAAAAGAGAGAGACCCTGTCCAAAAAACAAAAACAATATCTTAACCAAAAAGGATCTATGACCTTAATTTTAAACCAATCACGTCCTCACTGTAATTCTTCCACTCGAATGGAGACATGGGTGTGGGGGTGCATGCCTGTAATCCCAGCTACGTGGAAGGCTGAAGCATGAGAATTGCTTGAATCTCAGAGGTGGAGGTTACAGTGAGCTGAGATGGCGCCGCTGCACTCCAGCCTGGGCGACAAAGTGAGACTCAGCTTCCCCCACACCAAAAAAAATTAGATTATACCACCCAGGTGATCATTGGATACATGAAGATTTCTATTGTGTGTTCTTGGGGACTGTCAACTCTGTCTTTGAAAACTGTTTTAACTCTGAAATATTTTGATAAATTTGATGTGGCCGAGGATCCCTCAACAAAGATACTTTCAAGTTTTTTCTTTCTGTCTAATATCAGGAAGAGATTCAACCCTTCCCTATCTCACACTCAGGACTGTGAAGGACACATATTAATAAAACCCCATTTTGTTTGTGAAGGGAATCAGTGAATGAGTCCTGGGCTTCCACCCCATCCCTAAATCTTTCACTTTGATGGGTGAATATCTAATTCCATCAGTAAATCTGGAAGAAAGCCAAAAATCCAATCAGGATTAACTGGGTAAATTCGAATCAAATCTAGCTCTCTCTCTCTCCTTTTTCTTTTTCTTTTTTTTTTTTTTTTTTTTTTTTTTTTTTGAATCTAGCCTATTTCCCAGGCTGGAGTTCAGTGGTGTATTGTCAGCTCACTGCAACCTCTGCCTCCTGGGTTCAAGCGATCTTCCTGTCTCAGCCTCCCTAGTAGCTTGGACTATAGGCGCAGACCACCGCAACTGGCTAATTTTTGTAATTTTAGTAGAGGTAGGGTTTTACCATGTTGGCCAGGCTTGTCTCAAACTCCTGACCTCAGATAATCCACCTACCTCTGCGTCCCAGAGTGCTGGGATTACAGGTGTGAGCCACTTCGTCTGGCCTTGAATGAATGTATTCTTGACTTCTACCCTATCCCTAACACTGTCGATTTCTTGCTTCATGAAGTGAATATAGATATGTGATATGAATGGACATCTGATTCAATCCGGTAATCTGGGGAGAGCCAAAAACCCAATCAGGATTAACTGGGTGGAGCTTCACAAATGCAATCAGATATCATTTTTTGATTGGAAGGTAGCAGCGGATATGTGCAGGGGCGTGGGTGGGAGTTGTGATTAGAAAGGTCAATAAAAGCTTCTAAAGACCCACAGGAGAGACCCAAAGTCTTCAAGCCTAGAGTTCCTGCTTGGTTCTTCCTGAGGACTGAGCACCTTCTAGACTACATCCAGATCTGGTAAGTCACTAATTTCTGTAAGGACACTCCCATCTGACCTACAGTCAGTCGGTCTGGGGTGGTGACAGTACAGCCTACGATGGCACAGAGCTATATCCTGTCCTTTTTTTTTTTCATATGAACAATTTGAAGCTTTGAATGTTTTCCTCTAAATGCAGTTCTGTCTTTATTTCAAAAAAGTTGATTGTGCTTTGGTTGATGCCATTTTAAAATTCTTGAAGGGAGCAATAACTCATGCCTTTAACCCCAACACTTTGGGAGGCCAAAGTGGGAGGATCATTTCAGCCCAGGGGTTTGAGACCAACCTGGGCAACATGACAAAAGCCCTCCTCTACACAACGTTTTTTTTTTTTGAGGGTGGGGATGGAGTCTCACTGTGTTGCCCAGACTGGAGTGCAGTGGCACGATCTCAAATCACTGCAACCTTTACCTCCCGGGTTCAAGCAATTCTCATGCCTCAGTCTCCATCCTCAGAAGCTGGTGTCACAGACATCTGAAACCATGCCTGGCTAATTTTTGTATTTTTAGTAGAGGTGGGGTTTCACCATGCTGGCCAGGTTGGTCTCGAACACCTGACCTCAAGTGATCCACCTGCCTTGGCCTTCCAAAGTGCTGGGATTACAGCTGTGAGTCACTGGTGCTTGGCCTCTACTTTTTTTTTTTTAAATTAGCCGAGCATGGTGACATGCATCTGTAGTCCCAGCTATTTGGGTGTCTGGTGTGGGAGAATCACTTGAGACCAGAAGATTGAGGCTGCAGTGAGCCATGCTCATACCACTCCTGTACTCCAGCCTGGGCAAAAGAGAGACACCCTGTCCAAAAAACAAAAACAAAATCAATCAAAAAGGATCTTTGACCTTAATTTTAAACCAATCACATCCTCTTCCACCCAAATGGAGACATGGCTGCAGGGGGTGCATGCCTGTAGTCCCAGCTATGTGGAAGGCTGAAGCATGAGAATTGCTTGAATCTTGGAGGCCGAGGCAACAGTGAGCCGAAATGACACCACTGCACTCTAGCCTGGCCGATGAAGTGAGATTCAGCTCCCTCAACACCAAAAAGACTTATGCCACCTAGGTGATCATTGGATATATGAAGATTTCTATTGTGTTTTCTTAGGGACTGTCATCTCTGTCTCTGAAAACTGTTTTAACCCTGAAATATTTTGATAAACTTGGCATGGCCAAGGATCCCTCAACAAAGATACTTTCAAGTTTTCTTTCTTTCTGTCTAATATCAGGAAGAGGTTCAACCCTTCCCTGTCTCACACTCAGGACTTTGAAGGACACATATTAGTAAAACCCCATGTTTGTGAAGGGAATCAGTGAATGAGTCCTGGACTTTCACCCTATCCCTAAATCTTTCATTTTGATGAATGAATATCTAATTTGATCAGTTAATATTTAAGAAAGGCAAAAATCCAATCAGGATTAACTGGGTAGAGATTAAGAATTCTAATCAAATGTAGCTCTCTCTGTCTCTCTGTTCAATCTAGCCTATTTCCCAGGCTGGAGTGGAGTGGTATAATGTCAGCTCACTGCAACTTCTGCCTCCTGGATTCAAGCGATCCTCCTACCTCAGCCTCCCTAGTAGCTTGGACTACAGGCGCAGACCACTGCACCTGGCTAATTTTTGCTGTCTTAGTAGAGGCAGGGTTTTACCATGTTGGCCAGGCTCGTCTTGAACTCCTGATCTCAGATGATCCACCTGCCTCGGCCTCACAAAATGCTCAGATTACAGGTGTGAGTCACTGCACCCAGCCAAAGTGGTTCACTTTGAATATGTGTAAGAGGTGTGCATTGGAAACATCTATCTTGTGAGTAATGCATAACAGTGTCACATAGCTTTCAGAGCTTCTCACTGAAATTTTCAATAATGAGGCAGGGGTGGAGGCTCACACCTATAATCCCAGTATGTTGGGAGGCCAACAGGGGTAGATTGCTTGAGACTAGGAGTTCAAGACCAGCTTGGACAACATAGCGAAATCCACTGTCTTTACAAAAAGTCAAAAAATAAAAGATGAGCTGGGTGTGGTGATGCATAACTGTGGTCCCAGCTACTTGGGAGGCTGAGGAGGAAGAATCCTTTGAGCTGGGAGGTCAAGGCTGCACTGAGCTGAGATCCCACCACTACACTCCAGGCTGGGTGACAGAGCAAGACCCTGTCAGAAAGAGTGAGAGAGGGAGAGAGAGAAAGAGAGAGAGAATGAGAGAAGGGATGCAGGGAAAGAAGACAAGAAAGAAAGAAGGCAGAGAGAGGGGGAAAGAAAGAAAGAGGGAGAGAGAGGAGGAAACAAAGAAAGAAGGGAGGGAGAGAGGGAAAGAAGGAAAGAAGAAAGAGAGAGAAAGAGAAAGCAAGCTTAAATAATGAAAAGAAAACAAATAGAACCTGTTCTAGGGATGCCCCATGAATGTTCCCAACAAGCTTATTTGTAGGAACTGAAAATGTGGGCATGTAGGCTTGTGACATTCCCATTCCCATTGTTTTAGAACCTTGAGTAATTAGTAATTTCCCCCAATGGTAGGAGGGGTTCACTTTCAGGTTCCTCCACACTCACTAGTCACTGGATGGAGCACTGGATAGAAAGGAAGGGCTCGTGGTGGCCCTGCTTCCTCACTGCTTCGGAGACGCTCATGCTGATGCAGCAGAGGCAGAATGCTGGCTTAATGGCCACTGAGTACAGGGCAGAATTGGAGTAAACTGAGGGCTGTTTCACCATTGCCAGAGCAGTGACTTTGGCCTTGGGAGAAGATAAGATTGCATGGGCTTGGCCTGAGAGTGATGCCTTTTCTCTGGGTTTGTCCTCTGGAAGTTTTCCCTGCAGATTCGTGAAGATGAGCATCCGGACTCCACCCAGACTCCTGGAGCTTGCAGGGCGGAGCCTGCTGAGGGACCAAGCCTTGGCCATGTCCACCCTGGAGGAGCTGCCCACAGAACTTTTCCCCCCACTGTTCATGGAGGCCTTCAGCAGGAGACGCTGTGAGGCCCTGAAGCTGATGGTGCAGGCCTGGCCCTTCCGCCGCCTCCCTCTGAGGCCTCTGATAAAGATGCCTTGTCTGGAGGCCTTCCAAGCTGTGCTCGATGGGCTGGATGCACTGCTTACCCAAGGGGTTCATCCCAGGTGAGGTGGCCCAGGTGGGCTGGTGGGGAGGGCCCAGGTATCCAACCAAAGGAAGAGCTGTGTCATGACAAGTGAGGAGGCCCAAGGGGGATGGTGGTGGTGAGGAAGCCGAGAGGACTTGGCCATTCACCAGCTCCTCAGGGAAAGCACTGCTCACCACGCAAGGTCCATGGAGGTAACAGGAACCTCTCCTCTAATGGCACTGAAAGGCACCATGAAAAGTGAGAACTGGGCCGGGCACGGTGGCTCACAATGTAATCCCAGCACATTGGGAGGCTGAGGCCAAGAGTTGGAGGCCAGCCTGTCCAACATGGTAAACCCCAACTCTACTAAAAATACAAAAATTAGCTGGGCATGGTGGTGGGTTCCTGTAATCCCAGCTACTTGTGAGGTTGAGGCAGGAGAATCATTTGAACCCGGGAAGCAGAGGTTGCAGTGAGGTGACATCACACCACTGCACTCCAGCCTGGGCGACAGAGGGAGACGTGGTCTCAAAAGAAAAACAAAAAAATGTGGAAGTGGGCAGGATCCAAGGGGAAAACAGGGTGAAGAAAAGTCAGAGAGAGGGACAAGAAGCAGGGAGGGGAGGAGCTGCTCTCCAGGATGTGGAGTTTAAGTTCAGAAATGAGTTCTGAAATTCTCATTCTCACCTCTATTTTCCCACAGGAGGTGGAAACTTCAAGTGCTGGATTTACAGGATGTCTGTGAGAACTTCTGGATGGTTTGGTCTGAAGCTATGGCCCATGGGTGCTTCCTCAATGCCAAGAGGAACAAAAAACCAGTGCAGGACTGTCCAAGGATGAGAGGACAGCAGCCCTTGACTGTGTTCGTAGAACTTTGGCTCAAGAACAGGACTCTGGATGAATACCTCACCTGCCTCCTTCTATGGGTCAAGCAGAGGAAAGATTTACTACACCTGTGCTGTAAGAAGCTGAAAATTTTGGGAATGCCCTTCCGCAATATCAGAAGCATCCTGAAAATGGTGAACCTAGACTGTATCCAGGAGGTGGAAGTGAATTGCAAGTGGGTACTGCCCATCCTGACACAGTTTACCCCATACCTGGGCCACATGAGGAATCTTCAGAAGCTCGTTCTCTCCCACATGGATGTCTCTCGCTACGTTTCCCCAGAGCAGAAGAAGGAGATTGTTACCCAGTTCACCACTCAGTTCCTCAAGCTGTGCTGCCTCCAAAAGCTTTCTATGAACTCTGTTTCTTTCCTCGAAGGCCACCTGGACCAGCTGCTCAGGTGAGGGAGGGTGGTGAGCTTTCTCTGCAGACCACAGCAGAGCCTGTTACAGTAAACGCTAGTGGGCATCTACTGTGAGCCAGCCTATGAGGATGAAACAGTGAAGGGGACACTAGAATGTCCATGCATTGTCCTGTTGGCGGCCCTGTCCTGAAATGGGTATCATGCAACCCTCCCAATAGAGGCAGAGGGATCAGCTAGGGGAGATGCTATGGAGAGGCTGCCATGCTAGGAAGCTAGCTCCTGGGGGGTTCAGATCTAGTGAGGGTGCCTTTCTGAATTCTTCCTGAGGATGTGTGTCTAAGTTAAGATGATGAAAAATAGGCCAGGGGCGGTGGCTCATGCCTGTAATCCTAGCAGTTTGGGAGTCTGAGGCAAGAGGATAGCTTGAGCCTAGGAGTTTAAGACCAGTCTGGGTAACATACCAAGACCCCTGTCAGAAATGAATAAATAAAAGTAAAAACAAACAAGATAACTTTCTTTTCTGAGATGGAGTTTCACTTTGATCGTCCAGGCTACAGTGCAGTTGTGACATCTCAGCTCGCAGCAACTTCTGCCTCCCAGGTTCAAGCGATTCTCCTGCCTCAGCCTCCTGAGTGCCTGGGATTACAGGCGTGAGCCACCACACCTGGCTAATTTTTATATTTTAAGTAGAGACAGGGTTTCACCATGTTGGCCAGGCTATTCTCCAACTCCTGACTTCAGGTGATCCACCCACCTTGGACTCCCAAAGTGCTGGGATTATAGGCGAGAGCTACCACGCCCAGCCAACAAGATAATTTTTAAGAAGATGATGTGAAGTAGGGAAGTGAAGTGGGCACTGAAGAGGGGAATGCTCAGCAAACCTGCACATGTCAGAAAATCAGCTTTGTGCCCCACAGTTTCGTGAACATGAATGATCCCATCTCTAATTCCGTGTTGTAAAAGTTTCTTTTGAGCTCCAGGTAAATTAATTACCTAGGAAATGCATGATTCTGAAACAGAGGGTCAGGGAGCAGGCACAAAGAATGGTGAAAGTGATAGATGGTTTGCTGATGATACAGGCTTGTCAGGGACGCCTGCAGCCCGCCCACCGTAGCTGATGTTGCAGGATCCTGTCTGGGTTTGTCCTTTATGCCTGAATCTCCACTGGGCTCCTGTGGCCCAGGGATGTGGTTTTCTGCCTGACAGATGAGGAAAGGGAGCTTTAGGGATTCTGTGAACTTGATCCATTCCTATAAATGATGGTGAAGTGACTCAGCCTCAAATGGAATTATTTTTTTCTCCTTTTTTTTTTAATGCGGAGTCTCTCTCTGTCACCCAGGCTGGAGTGTAGTGGCATGATCTCTGCTCACTGCAACCTACACCTCCTGGGTTCAAGCGATTCTTCTGCCTCAGCTTCCCAAGTAGCTGGAATTGCAGGCTCCCGCCACCACACCTGGCTAATTTTTGGATTTTTAGTAGAGAGGAGGTTTTGCCATGTTCAGCAGGCTGGTCTCAAACTCCTGATCTCAAGGAATCCACCAGTCTCAGCCTCCCAAAGTGCTGGGATTACAGGTGTGAGTTACTGGGCCGGGCCTAAAGTGGAATTGACCTCGGTGGCAAAGCTCTTCATCACACATCATCCTAAATGTTGACCATCAGGCCATCAGAATGACCCTGGACTTGGGCAAAATGGTCTCCATCCATTACCTTGAAGCCATTCCCCACCACCCTCCACTCACCCCTATGATTCCCCAGAATTAACTTCTTGCTCTCTCTCCCCAGCTGTCTGAAGACCTCGTTAAAGGTCCTCACAATAACTAACTGTGTGCTTTTGGAATCAGACTTGAAGCATCTATCCCAGTGCCCGAGTATCAGTCAACTAAAGACCCTGGACCTGAGTGGCATCAGACTGACCAATTACAGTCTTGTGCCTCTCCAAATTCTCCTAGAAAAAGTTGCAGCCACCCTTGAGTACCTGGATTTAGATGACTGTGGCATCATAGACTCCCAAGTCAACGCCATCCTGCCTGCCCTGAGCCGCTGCTTTGAGCTCAACACCTTCAGCTTCTGTGGAAATCCCATCTCCATGGCCACCCTGGAGAACCTGCTGAGCCACACAATCATACTCAAAAACTTATGCGTGGAGCTGTATCCTGCCCCCCGGGAGAGTTATGATGCTGATGGTACTCTCTGCTGGAGCAGATTTCCTCAAATTAGGGCTGAGCTGATGAAGAGAGTGAGGGACTTAAGGCACCCCAAGAGGATCTTGTTCTGTACTGACTGCTGCCCTGACTGTGGCAACAGGTCATTTTATGACCTGGAGGCAGATCAATGCTGCTGTTGAATGCCTGCCTATTTGGGTGGATATGTCAAACGCTTTCTTCTGGACACTTGGAAACTAAAACCTAGGTCTTAGGTACATCCTATAGGGAGCACAGAACCCATCATTTCACACATGGGCTCTGAAAGTGGGAAAGGAAAGGTGATCAAGCAGGGGCAGGACTTGGGGGAAGTGTTGCCATGGATTCGATGGGACTTTGGGGACCTGTGTCCTGTAGAGTGGAAAATGGGAATTTGAATGTCTAGAGTGGAGGCTTGAGAATACTTGAGGGAGTTACTCTTGGATGCATGGTTGTAAAGAAACAATCAGAAATAAAGGAAAACTGAGTGGTAACTGTCTGGTGCCCTCTATTATTAAGTAACCTGTTTTCCAGTTTAAGCCTCAGGAATCTTCAGTTATTGACGGAAAAAACAAAAGGCACTGAGTTGTCCAATCAATAAGATGCTACCCAAGAAAATCAAGGCATTTAAATGAAATTTGGTTATTGTAATCAGTTTCCTCCCATTCTTTTATTTGAGACAGAGTTTCACTCTTGTTGACCAGGTTGGAGTTTAGAGTGCAATGGTGCCATCTCAGCTGACTGCAACCTCCACCTGGGGTTTAAATGATTCTCTTGCCTCAGCCTCCCAAGTAGCTGAGATTACAGGCATGCACCACCATGCCCAGCTAATTTGTGTATGTTTAGTAGCGACAGGGTTTCCTCACTATGTTGGTCAGACTGTTCTCAAACTCCTGACTTTGGGTGATCCACGCAAGTAGGCCTACCAAAGTGCTGGGATTACAGGCGTGAGCCACTGTGTCAGGCTTGTTTTTGTTTTTGTTTTTTAAAGGTCTCCTGTCACTCAGGCTAGAGTGCAGCGGCACAATCATAGCTCACTGCAGCCTCAATTTCCTGGGTTCAAGCGATCCTCCCACCTCAGCCTCCTGAGGAGCTAGGACTACAGGCGTGTGAGCAACCATGCCTGTTTGCTTGTTTTTTTAAGTGGTGACAAGGTCTCGCTGTCTTGCCCAGGCTGATCTGGAACTCCTGAGCTTGTGATTCTCCTGCCTTGGCCTCCCAAAATGCAGGGAGTATAGGCGTGGACCACCACGATTGGCTTGGCCTCCTCCAGTTCTTCACTTCTTTAGATGTCTGTTAATTCCTTGTTAGTTTCTGTGGCTGTTCAGTGGGTTAATACACACTAGGTGGAAACCAAGGGTCTGGAACATTACTGGGCAAGAACAGTGAGCCAATCCACGTGGAAAGCACCTTCTTCTCAGGGTCTTTCACTGCTAGCCAGATGCTGAGACCCTGCCCACTCCTTGTGAGTCTCCACATGGTTCCAGAAGCCTTAGTTGGTGGATGTCAGCTTCACTGCACAAGGAGCCACTCTCTTCCCGCTGCCCTGGAAGGGGATGTCCATATTGTGTATTAGCTGGAGACTCTGGGCAGCACCAACCCTTGCTTGTTCTCCTGATGACCAGCAGCCCTTCTTGAATTAAACTGGTTGTAGCCAGTAAAGACAGCCACATTCCCTTTAAGTAAAATACTAAAACTACACAGGTATGTAACACTTTTTAAATATTTCCATCTGACATTTAAAAAGTTACTTCTTATTAGGGAGCTAGGTCAGATCGATGAGAGATTTTCTCATAACACCTCCCCTCTCTCCCTATCAAGGAAGAGACCAGTGCAGCGTGTTCTGGAATCTCACATGATCAAAGGGTGGATAACAATCAAGTGCCTGTGGGTGATGAGTGACCTTCCCTGTGCTGAGGAAGCCTGCATAATGGGCACCCAAGTGAAGGATCCTGCTGAGGATTCAGGGGCTGGTATTGCTGTCAGGGATCTTAACCAAGAGCCTCAGGTCCCTGTAAAATGAGGATGATGTCCAACGGCTTATAGGACCCTGCAAGGATCCAATAAGATGGTTCATGTTTAGGGCTTGGCATGGGGACTGGCATACAGTTAGATGAATACATCTTGTTCTTTTTTCTCTTCTCAGCAGAAGTCCCAGCAATTTTCATCTTTCAATCTATCTCACCTCCTATTCCTGATAACAGGGAGGCAACAAGAACCCAGGGCATGCAATGGGGCTCATCTTCTACCCTCTGCCACAACTTCATCATGACTCCCCCAAACAGCAGAGCCCCAGGAGCCAGCAGGGGGCAGGGTGGGCATTTCTGGACTGGATTCATTCCTAAGAAGAGTAAAATGTCCAATCCATAGGTCTCGGGTGCCATCTGCTGGTAGATCAGATCAGATGGTGTAATTTAATGTTGCAAGGATTATATTATATGGTATTTTTTTAAATTTACTATTATGAGCCAGGAGCGGTGGCTCGTGTCTGTAATCCCAGCACTTTGGGAGGCTGAGGCCATTGTCATGGCCAGGCTTGGTGTCTCACACCTGTAATCCCAGCATTTTGGGAGGCTGAGGCGGGCAGATCACTTCAGGTCAGGATTTTGAGACCAGCCTGGCCAACATGGTGAAACCCCGTCTCTACTCAAAATACAAAAAAAATTGCTGGGCGTGGTGGCATTCGCCTGTAATCCCAGGTATTCAGGAGACTGAGGCAGGACAATCACTTGAACCCGGGAGGCGAAGGTTGCAGTGAGCTGAGATCGCACCACTGCACTCCAGCCTGGGCAACAGAGCAAGAAAAGAAAATTTACTATAATGTGAATACTAGTTGAGTATAAATATTTGTGTTGTAATTTATGTATATGAAAGATATAAAACTTTTAAAGAATGCAATGTGATATTTTAAGAATGGTTAATGGCCAGGCGTGGTGGCTCACGCCTGTAATCCCAGCACTTTGGGAGGCCGAGGCAGGCAGATCACGAGGTCAGGAATTTGAGAGCAGCCTGGCCAATGTGGTAAAAACCCGTCCCTACTAAAAATACAAAAAATTAGCCTGGTGTGGTGACGGGCCCCTGTAATCCCAGATAGTCAGGAGGCTGAGGCAAGAGAATCTCTTGAACCCAGGAGCAAATGCTGTTGACCACGTGATGCATGGAAACGTTTGTCATGGGTATAGCCACTGAATTGCTAACTTAGGGACGTCAACATTAGCTCACTACCAATAATATAAATACATTGGATTATGGAAAAAATTGCCTTTGTGATACCATATCCATGTGTGACATGAGAGTCCAGCAATTGGCCCGGTGTGGTGGCTCACGTCTGTAATCCCAGCACTTTGGGAGACTGAGGCGCATGGATCACTTCAGGTCAGGAGTTCGAGACCAGTCTGGGCAACACGGTGAAACTCTGTATCTATTAAAAACACAAAAATTCCCACCTATGAGTGAGAACATGCGGTGTTTGTTTTTTTGTCCTTGTGATAGGATGGGAATTGAACAATGAGAACACATGGACACAGGAAGAGGAACATCACACACTGGGGCCTGTTGTGTGGGGAGTGGGGAGGGATAGCATTTGGAGATATACCTAATGTTAAATGACAAGTTACTGGGTGCAGCACACCAACATGGCACATGTATACATGTGTAACTAACCTGCACATTGTGCACATGTACCCTAAAACTTAAAGTATAATAAAAACAAATACAAAAATTAACTGGGCGTGGTGGCAAGTATCATCCCAACTACTGGGGAGGCCGAGGGAGGAGAATTGCTTGAACCCAGGAGGTGGAGGTTACAGTGATCAAAGATCATGCCACTGCACTCCAGCCTGGGCAACAGAGCGAGATGCCATATCAAAAAAAAAAAAAAAAAAAAAAAGAGAGAGAGAGAAAAGAAAACAAAACAAAAGAAAGTCCAGCATGGTAAAAGGTACATAGAGGTACATTTGGGTGAGCTTCCTTTGTTTTTCATTCTTTTTCCCTTCTCTGGACAGAATTCTCAATGCAAAACATTCCAAAAACACAGAGCAAGTGTCTTCTATAACCTTCCCTTTTTTTGAGACTTCTCTTCACAGTGTATGTGCTAGTGTCTTCCAGACTTTTGTGTGACATGCTATACAGAACATCAGATCAAACGGGCACATCCCTAATAAGTGGTGACTTGCCAGATCTGGACTCACTTTGCAGGGTGCTGGGACCTCTCTGAGAATCAAGCAGTAGCTCCAGGAGCCAGGGCTTTGGGTCTCTTCTGTGCATCTTCAGGAGTTTTATTGACTTTTCTCACCACAACCCCCTTCTCAATTACCAACTTCCAATCCAAAAATGACATCCAACTGGATCCTGAACTTCCACCCAGTTAACGGTGATTGAGTTTTCAACTTTCTTCTTATTAAGTGATTAAATTAGATATGGATTTATGAAAGTGAAAGAATTAATAATAGGGTGAAGGACTAAAACTCATTTATTCACTTATTCCATAAATATTGGTAAAGTTTTACCAATATGTGACCTTCATAGTGATACAGGGAAGGTTTTAATCTGTTTCAGACATTAGAAATACATATATTTATATATGGTATCTTTATTGGAGAACCTTTGGCCACATCAAAAGTATCAAAACTTTTCAGAGTTAAAACAGCTTTAAGAAGACAGTGATGTCATCCCTAAAAACACAATAAAAATCTCAGTGTATCCACTGGTCACCTGGGTTTTGCGCTACCTAACATGGTAGATCATATGCCCATTCAGGTGGAAGACAGGAACTACTGAGGGTGTAATTTATCTCAAGGTTAAGGTCAAGGCATCACTGAAAGAAATCAGGCCTAAATTACAAAGTGAGGTGGAGGTTGGGCTGGACAGTACTGACTGTTCTAATGGGACCCTAGGAGGGAACCAAGACAACATAAAACATGGCAGGTATTTTGTGGGCATCTAGACAAAAGGATTGAAAGACTTCCTTCTACATTGAGTTTAAAAATTAAAAAAACCTAATTACAAAAGAGATAATGCAGACTCGTAAAACATCACAGTGTCTTTGAGGGCAGAGAGGGCAGACACAATCTTGACTCCTACTGGAAGGTGAAGCATCATTACTCACAAACAGGATGGGCTTCCCTCAGAATACCAGCTTGGGAAGAGTGAATCTGAGTGTGTGAGCTGGGGCAGAGCCCAGAGAGGAGCAGTGTGGTCAGACATAAGGAGGGAGACTTTTCAATCTGGAAGCATGAATGGTGCAAGCTGTGTATCTGAAGAATTTGGGAGAAAAATGAACCTCTTGGGGGAATCCTGCACCATCCTCAGGACCCCAGTGAGAATCCTGCAGTTTCGGGGGTCTTTCTACCATGTTCTGGTTGCCTGTGCTTCTGAAGGTGCTCCTCTGCTGTCCAGGTCAGAGTAGCTTTCAGAGCCCATCTGAAGGGACGGCCTGACTTCAATTCCACTCACAGAATTTCTACTGGGATTCCAAAGCTTCTCCAGGCTTTTGATGGGGGTCTCTAAAATATTTCTGAATTTCTGTTTTCCTCCCCCAGCCTGAGCTGTGAGAGAAGCTGAATCCTCTGCTTCCTGGAAATGTCAGCCGATCTCTCCTGCACCGAGGACTATGGCCACAAACAATGCTAAGAGACACTCTCCCTGGAATCAGCAGTGACTCATACATTCTCCCCAAATTCTACTGAGCTTTTTGGGTGCACATAGCAAGGCACAAAGCAGGGAGCTCCTCAGCTGCTCTTCCGGACCTAAAGAGGCACCCAGGACCAATGGAGGGGAAGTTTGTCTGCCTTCCACAGGAAGAGCTGACTCCTCTGGTTTTCCTAGAAGTGCCAGGCTGTTGGCAGAGCCTGGGACAGGTCCCAGTGCAGGGGGCCATCCCTTCTAGGATCCCCTTGCCCAGTCTTAGAGCTGACGAGGCTGCACCTGGAATGCAGTGAGTCTGTTTCTGAGTCAGGGCTTTCTTTGCCCATGGTGTTTGCCCTCTCCATGTTTCTAACAGTAGAAATCACTGTTCAGGCCCTGCTGGACTTCTTTAGTCCTCAACAGGATCTCATTCCAGGTCGCATTTGTGACCGTCTTTTCCAAGATCAGGGGCTGCCCCTCCTTTTTTCCCCAATAAAGATCTGAGGAGAAGCTCACTCTGAAAGCAGAGTAGATGCCTAAGAAGGTGCTTGTGGCAGCCTGGGGTGGGGGAGGTCTGGGAACTCGCTGCAGGCTGGATGGAGCCAGGAGGACTAAGGAAAAGAACAGGGCCCAGAAAGGGAGTGGCCCAGAGGAGCTGATGTGGGCCAGAGTAAGTACAGAGGAGAGAGATGGCAGCAGGGTAGGGGGCCGGGTTATTTGGCTTTCACAGAGCCGCGTCCCTGATAAGCTGTGGACTTGTGTCTGAGATCCTCAAAGGACCTGTGCCTGGATGTGGAGCTGTGAGTTTCTAAGGCCCTTTGATTTCACCCTGGTCTACATGAGGTTCCAGTGGCTGCCCCATCTCACCCCAGGGGCAAAGAGTCAGTCTAGCAGGGAGACATGGGGAGAGAGAGTCAATGGCAAACATCCACCCTGGATGCAAAGACAAGGGACATGTCAGAGGGAGGGAGACTTGGTGTGAGGCCAGGGGAAGGGAGGCACGTTGGATATGGTGCAGTTCTGTCTCTGCACTTGCCACAGCCTCATAGGACTGTGAGGATTGAACTTTGCAGGAGGGAATGAGGTAGAATGGGGTCTGGACTGGAGTCCCTGTCATCCAAGTGACCCCCATATCTACTCCTGCCAACCAGGTGAAGGTCTTGCTAGATGTAAGTCAAACCAGGACCTATCAGACTGCCTGGCACTTTCTGATGGATCTAGAAGGAGCACAGTGATCCTCAGTCAAAAAAAATCTTGCATTGTCCAGGGCTGAGGATTTTCAGGTGGCCCTGGAGGGGGAGACTCTGGGGAAAAACCACAGAGAAGATTTTGGCACATTTGACACTATTAACATCCAGTGCCTCCCCTTCCTATTGGTCGGGTGTGGTGGCAGGAGAATTGCTTGAACCCGGGAAGCAGAGGTTGCAGTGAGCTGAGATCACGCCATTGCACTCCAGCCTGGGTGGGCAACAAGAGTGAAACTCTGTCTCAAAAACAAACAAACAAACAAAACAAACAGACAAAAAAATGTGAAACAAAAAAAAAAAACCTTTGAATGAGTGCCTGCAATGTGCCACCTACTATTCTGGGTGCTACTTAGGATAAACAAGAAGCAAGGCAGCTGCAAAGTGAGCTCAACAGAATACACCTGGCTTGGCAGTGCAGTGCAGATCAGAAAAAAAATGCCTGTGCAGCATAAAATGTGAAGAGACATCTTCTTTGCTTTTCTTTTCTTTCTTCTTCTTTTGAAAGACAGAGCCTTACTCTGTTTCTAAGGCTGGCGTGCAGTGGTGCAATCTCGGCTCAGTGCAGCCTCGGCCTCTCAGGCTGAAATGATCCTCCCATGTCAGTCTGCCAGTTAGCTGGAAACACAGGTGTGTTGCATGGAATATCTTTTTCTACCCCTTCACTTTCAGACTACATGTGTCCTTATAGGTGAAGTGAGTTTCTGGAAAACAGCATATAGTATGGTCTTATTCTTTTACTCATTCAACGACCCTAAGACTTTCACTTGCAGAACTGAGATATATTGTCTTCATTGTTGTTATTGATAAAGGCTTAGTACTCCCATTTAATTTCTTGTTTTCTGGTTGGTTAGAGACTTCTCTCTTCCATCCTTCCTTTCTTATTGTCTTTCTTTGTGTTTAAGTAATTTTCCCTTATGAAATCCTTGGGATGTGACTTTTCTGGCCAGAAGCCTCTATGGCTGGGGGCACCTTTGCCGGAGTTTTGATGGGGTTCACTGGGTTTGTTCTGCCCACTCAGACTGGTAGACTATGCTTGGCTCATGCTTCAGGCCTGGATCACATGCCTATTAAGGGAGGGTCAGGACTGGAGCAGTGAGGGGTGTGTGAGTGAGCAGGGGGTCTGGTCACTTTGGACAGTCACTGGCTCCCGCAGCAGTGGGGCAGGCAGCTCCAGGTGCCAGCACAGGTGCCAGATTTTTGCAAGGCTGCAAATGAACCAGGCACAGCAAAAGCAGCTTCCATGTTTGTCCCTGGAGTACACAGTGGTGTCTGCTGCTCTTTCCAGGAAAGTCATCTCATCATCTCCACAGCTCTCAGTAGAGAAAAGGCCCCAGAGTGGATTGCTTGTCTGCAGGAAAATCATCCCAAGAGTGGGTAGTTTCACTCTGCCACTGTTCATCCTGATGTTTTCCCTGAGTCTGGGGCTGTTGGGGCATCATGGGGAAGGAAGTATGTGCTGCTTGGGTCATAGGTAGCCATTGGCAGGCACAGAAAAGGCACCACATATTCCCACTCTGGTCCATAGCACTGGTGGACCAGCCCACGGGCTTCAGGCCCCCCTTGGTCACAAGGTAGAGCCTCACCAGGTACCCTCGTCTTCCCATCCAGGAGTCTGTCTGCCTCCCACCACCACCCATGGCGCCCAGGTCACTTGCATCAAGGAGCATCCAAAGGCCAGCACTGATCTGTCCTCAGCCCCCTCTCAGCCTCCCTCCCATGCTCATCAGGGCCCAAAGCCCAGAGTGTTCAAGACAGCAGGCAGACGGTGCATCAGCACGAACCTGAGCATGCACACGCTCATCTGGGCTGCCACAGCATACATGCTTGACCCCAACTCCGCTCCAAAATTACAGCAGGTGCCAGGAGGGACCACACAGTGGGAGCAGACACCCCCATGCTGCAGGAGAAGGGGAGACCTCCTGAGCCCTCAAGAGCACTGGGGGACCTTGGTTGGAACTGCGACCTGGGCAGCTTCAGTTGTGCCTTTGGAGCTACTGTCCTGCCAACTCGGGAGGGCCAGGACTCCCTCTTGTCCCAGGATCCCATCAGGTTCAAAGTGTATGTAGCCTCAGTTATGCCCTCTCTCTGTGTTTCTCCACAGAGGTGACAGGTGAGATGCAGGTTCACAGCAGCTCTGGCCAACCCTGCAAAAACAAACCCAATGCTTCTGGGTCTGGTTGAATGAGCCCCAACTGCACTCTAGTTAAGAATATTGCAGGCTAACAGCAGGCCGTGAGGAGTGAGTTTGAGGCTTTGTAGAGGCTCCAGACCCGGGAGCGGGTCTCATTAAGCCATGAGAGGGTGTGGGTGGCACAGCTGTCTGCCTCAGGAACACGGGGCAGAGGCCTGGCTCACAACCCTGCCAAGGTGGGGTGCCTCCAGGAGTGGACCGTGGTCCCCAGACCCAGCAATTAGGAACGTCAGTCTCTGTGGTCACCCCTGTGGGGGGCAGATCTTGGAAATGCAGCCCCAGGAGGATTAGCACAGAACCTCCCTTCGACACCCAGGAACTTGGCACTGTTAGCAGGGTGGGCACAGTGGCCCCATAGCTGGCCAGGTCATTGAACTAGGTGCCATTTCTGCTTCCCAACAAAGGCCCCTGTAGCTTGATCCCAGCTCTGCCTACCACCTCAAGCCCATCTTCTCCTCGGGGCCCCTCTCTGCCCGTCCCTTTGTGCCTGACTGAGCTGCTCCTTGCAGGCGAAAATGTAAGGAAAAAACAGATGACTGAAGAGAAGTAAAGAATGGGTGGAGATCATTGGCACACCCGTAATCCCAGCACATTGGGAGGCCAAGGTCAGCAGATCACTGAAGCCAGGAGCTCAAGACCAGCCTGGTCAACATGGAAAAACCGCGTCTCTACTAAAAATACAAAAACTAGCAGGCTTGGTGGCACTTGCATGCAATTCCACCTACTAGAGTGGCTGAGGCATGAGAATCACTTGAGCCCCGAAGGGTAGGATTGCAGTGAGCCCAGACGGGACCACTGCACTGCAGCCTGGGTGACAAAGCAAGATGTTGTCTTTTTTTTTTTTTTTTTTTTTTTTTTTTTAAAAAAAAGCAAAGAAAAAGAATGGGTGGGAATTAGATGTTTTGCAGCTGAATCTCAATCACAGACAACAGAGTACTTTGATACTTTTCCATCAGTAACTCAATAACTAGAGATTTCTGATGTATAAATCGCTAAAACAAGTCAATCAAATACAGAGGACACCAGAAAGTTTTCATTGAGGTTATTTCTGATATTTCTTGGTAACCGTCCCTGCAGGGATAACATTCTCATCACTGTAGAACTTTAGCTTCTCTTTCTGACTCTGTAGGACATGGGTCCCGTAAGGTCTCATTGACTCCACCTCCACATTTTCCTCCAGTCTTGCCCCCTGCTGTTATCTTTTTTCCCTCATACTGAGCACCTGCCTGAAGCAAAGAATTCTGTGCTTCCTGTAAGTTGCATGTGGCCTGGTCACAATCACTCATGCCAGTAATCCTGGCACTTTAGGAGGCCAAGGCAGGAGAATCCCATGTGCCCAGCAGTTTCAGACCAGCTGGGGCAACACAGCGAAACCCTGTCTCAAATGTTCTTTAATAAAATTTTAGAATTATTAAAAAAGGAAATAAGAAAAAACAAACATAACTTGCACTTACATACTAGATTTTAGTGTCCAAGTGCCTGGAAGAGAACTTTGGATTTATCAACCCCACTAGGCACGCCTTCCCTAGCAGCAAAGATGGAGCTCCAGTTCCTCAGACGGTGATGAGCCACAGGAAGGGCAGGGAGTGGGACCAGTGAAGATCCTCTTGGGCTGCCTGACTTCCCTCAGTGTACACATCAGCTCAGCCCGAAGTGGGGCGAAGATCTCCCAATCGACACGAACCAAGGAATTCAAACTCTCCTCAGGGGCAGGATACGTCTCCAGGCTTAACTTGCTCAGCCCACTGGTGTGGCGCAGCAGGTCCTTCAGGGTGTCCGTAGACATGCAATTTCTGCCAAAGTAGAAGGTGGTGAGCTGGGAGCAGCGGCTCAGGCCAGGCAGGATGGCGCTGAGTTGGCAGTAGTGGATCTGACAGCCCTCGAAGATGAGGGTCTTGAGAGTGGCAGCAATTTTCTCTAGCAGAGCTCCGAGGGGTTCAAGACTGATGCGGAACAGCAGCACGTAGCTGAGATTCAGATGCTTTAGGTAGCTGAGGCTTGGGTACTGAGACAGACACTTCATGTCCTCTTCCAATAGGTAGCCACAAGTTAACTCCAAGTTCTCCAAGGGGTTCTGGAGGCACCTGTGGAGATCAAGAAGTTAGTTCTGGGCAGTGATACCAGTTAGATGAAGGTGGTGGGGAATAACTGAAAGGGAAATGTCTGCTTCACCCAAACACAAGTTTATTCCCATCATGTGATGATGGTCCACATGCAAGTTGCTCTGTGATGAGGACTCTGATCATTCAGGGGCAGTCCTAGTTTAGCCTCAATCCTTTCACCATTGCTTGTGTGATTGGTTCAAGGCCACAAAATCACATCACTAAAGCCTCTTTTCTTCATCTTTTAGCAGAAAACTTCATCTCTGGGCCACAGGTACCCGGTGGGAGATGTGCATGAAGAACTCAACTGAGCAAGGTCTAGGGTCATCAGCTAGGGCTACCTACTGGCAGGGGCTCCCTGACGTGCCTGCATCTGCAAACCACCTATCACTTTTTACCACTCTCACGCCTACTCCCTCAGCCTCCATTCAAGAAGCACACATTTCCCATGTCAGTTACCTTTCCTGGGGTTCAAAACAACCTTTTACAGACAGGGAATAGAGACAGGATCATTTGTGATCACTAAGCTGGTGAGGACAGAGTTTCTACTGTGAAATGCACAGGTTTGATGCGCTGTCCCTCCTTTCATACCCTCCTCTATTACCTCTTTCCTATCATATCAACTTGAAACACACTTTGTAACAAGAAATTCACATATGCACCCCCCAGTAGAGCTGAAACCCCCACTACCTGGCTTGTACATGATGTAGCTCTCTAGCCTCTACCCCAGGTGACCCCGCTGCCCTCATTGCAGAGATCCTGTGATAGCCACTCCGGAACATGGAGCACTGAATGGGACAATGTGTTGATATTCTGGTGTCCCCTTCACTGTGATGTCACCACTGGCTGACACAAAAGTTATGCCTTCTAGCGTTTGCTGTAACAAAAAAAGGCTGTGCTGTGGTCTTCAGAGAAAGTGCACGATCCTTTCTCACCTGATCAGCTGTTCCAGGTGCCCACTGAAGAAGGTGATCAATTTTACTTTAAGCAATTGGAGGTGTTCCAGCCTGAGGAACACAGGCTGAATTTGGTGAGTAACCATTCCTCGAGGTCATTGTCCGAAGAGTAATGATGGCACCTGGAGAAAACGAGTTTGCGAAGATTCTTCATCTCCTTCAGGTAACAATGAAGCTTTCTTATCAGATGCAGCCAGGACATGTTGTGAATTTCCAACTCCTGAATACTATTCAGGTGGACTATTTTCAATGACTTTCTAAGATATTTAATGGGTGTTAGATAATTCACCAACTTACTACAGCACAGGTGTACTAAAACTCTCCTTTGGTAAACCCACTGGAAGAGGTATCTCAGGCATTCATCTTGGGGTGTTTCCTTGAGGCAGACGTCTATGAACACCTTTAAGGGCTGGTGCTCTCCCATCCTTGGATAGTCCTCTGCTGTCTGCCTCTTACTCATGGCCTCTGGGGAGGAGGACAGGGCCTAGCCTCCAGGCCATCCAGCCCAGACATTCTCATCAACATCCAGCAAGTCCAGCACTTGAAGTTTCCACCTCCTATAGGTAAAGTAAGGGAGAAGCTCAGAATTTAGAAGGACCCATCCCTGACTTTTGCTTTCATTCTCATTGCTCCCTGTTCTCTCTCTGACTTTTCTCAGTCCGTTTTCTCTTTTGATTCATACTGCTCCCCACTTCTAGTCCCTTTACCTTCCACTGGGAAAAAGCAGGTTTCTGTTCCCACAGTGGACCCTGTATGGTGAGCAGTCCTTTCTCTGAGGATCTGGACAATGGCCAAAGCCTCCTTGAGCTTCCTCACCAGCACCATCAGAAGACTCTGGGCTACCCTGAGTCAGGCTGGAAAACAAGCCGCTTTATTGTATGTATGTATGTATTTATTTATTTATTTATTTATTTATGGATTTTGAGACCGAGTTTTGCTCTTGTTGCCCCGGTTGCAGTGCAATGGTGTGATCTCAGCTCACCGCAACCTCCGTCTCCTGCGTTCAAGCGATTCTCCTGCTTCAGCCTCCCGAGTAGCTGGGATTACAGACATATACCACCATGCCCAGGTAATTTTGTATTTTTAGTGGAGATGGTGTTTCTCCAAGTTGGTCAGGCTGGTCTCCAACTTCTGACCTCAAGTGATCTGCCCACCTTGGCCTCCCAAAGTGCTGGGATTACAGGCGTGAACCACTGCACTCAGCCTTAAGCCACTTTATATAGGGTTAAATAAACCCCCTCTGAGGGGACTTTGTGATTTGTAGAAGGTGACTCCCCAGGCCCTTTAGTTAGGAATTGCGGACCTTCATGTCCCAACTTCTCCTTTGGATGCAGAGAACCTAATTATAATGCATTTAAATGTAAAGCCTCAACCACCAGGTGAACCTGGGATGTATGTGACATGTATATTTGCTTACCATACATGCATGCATCCCCCACCCTGTGAATTTTCATAGCTGCTCCAATGACCTGCTGAATATGCACACTTGGTGGCCAACAGGTTCAGCATAGATTCCTGGGTCACTTTCCCTCCCTCCAAGCGCTTGCCTCAGGTCCTGCCTGGAGGCCCATTTCCCAGCGAGCAGGTTGTAAACCTTTAGAAGAAATTACGCTCCTTTTTTCTAAATCTATAGACCCCATAATTTTTAGTGGACCTCACTGGTGTTAGAAGTGGGATTCAAAGGGGACCTCCGATCTCTTCCTGATGCCTCCAGAACCAATGCATCCTGCACTGGCAAGAGTCCCGTGAGCTCTTCTCGATTGCGCCATGGGAAGGCCTCGGGTAAGTCTTCCTGAATTCAGATGTCCAGCTCTTAGGTGGAAGATCTCAGAGACTTTAATTCTTCCCAGCTGGTTCTCTCCAAACAGTTTCTGGAGGGGACCTTCTCCATCAGTTCCAGGTTTTGGGACCCATGGTGCCTTCCCTTCCCTGTTCCCTCTCAGTCCCTGTCCTGGCTCCCTAATTGGGATCTTGGAGGGAATCTCTTTGTTGGTCCTGGGTTTGAGGAGACTCTTCCAGTTCCCTCCATCTGGACTGGATAGAAGATTCCTCTGAGGACCCCTGCCTAGCAGGGAGACATTCAGGTCAGACTTCTTGGGTCCATCAGGTTTGGTGAAGATGCTCGCCCTCTAGTGGTGCTTACAGGGACGCCTGTGGTAGGTAAGTGCAGTTATGAGGGCCCTTAGTTCCAAAGGGACAGACTCAGACCAGTGGCCATCAGGAACTCCGGTGACTCTTTGTTTAAAGACTGTGTCCTGTATTACATGGGGGGAAATCTATAAAAAACAGATGAAGTTCATCCATGTGATGACGGCACTGCCGTGACACACAGGTAGTGACCCCGGCAAAAGGAGGGTGACTTCATCCATATTCAACGTGTTTATATTATTGGTGGCAGCTCATGTTGACTGCCCGACATTTGCATTGTAGTGGCTATAAAGTGATTTCTGAGCACTATGTGATCAATAAGCATTTACAGCCACCTGCCAGGTTCCATGCTCTGCTGTGGGACCACAGGGTGACAGAGACACAGTCCCTGCCCTTGAAGAAGCAGTCTCTGTCTACATGAGATTGTCAAGGAAAAAATCATTATCAAACACAACCTAGGCACATGGTCCAGCAGCCACGCTCCTTGGCATTTACCCAAATGAGAAAACCTAAAACCTGGATGTTTTTAACCACTACATTCATAATAGACAAAACTTAATAGGGACCAATATATTCTTCAGCAGATAAATGGATGAATAAACTGTAGCACATCCTGACAGTGTAAATTATTAAGCCCTAAAAGACATAAAAAAAACTTAAATGCACATAACCAAGTGAAAGAAGCCAACATGAAAAGGCCACATGACATTCTGGAAAAGGCAAATCTATGGACACAGTAGAAAGCCCAGGGGTTGCAAGGAGTCAGGGTAGAGTGGGATGGATAGAAAGAGAACAGGTGATTTTTTTAGGGCACTGAAGCTACTCTGCATGATGCTATAAGGGTGAATACATGTCATCCTCAATTCATCAGAACTCATAGAATATACAGCACCAGATGTGAACCCTTAATGTTAATTATGAACTTTGGGTGATAAGGATGGTTCGTGTGGTTCATGCATTGGAGCAAATGGACCACGCTGGGGCAGGACGTTGATCCTTTAGGAGTCCGCGCTAGAGTGGGGTCATGAAGTATGTGGGAATGATCCACTTTCTGCTCAACTTCACTGCAACCTTATAACTGCTCTAAGAAAATAAATCATATATCCCTAAAAATATTGCACTTCCTTCCAGCTCCAAAATTGTATAAACTTAAATATTTTTAAATAAGAGCAATTCTTATTCATTGATCTTCAAAATCAGTTTTGAAGGTGTCATTTTATTTGAGACTCAACACCACATTAAGCATTTTCTAAATATACTTCAAGTTCTGGGACACATGTGCAGAACGTGCAGGTTTGTTACATAGGGATACATATGCCATGGTGGTTTGCTGCACATATCAAGCCATCATCTACACTAGGTATTTATCCTAATGCTAACCCTCCCCCACCATCCCTACCCCCCAACAGGCCCCAGTGTGTGATGTTCCCTGTATCCATGTGTTCGCATTGTTCAACTCCCACTTATGACTGAAAACATGTGGTATTTGCTTTTCTGTTCCTGTGTTAGTTTGCTGAGAATGATGATTTCCAGCTTCATCCATGTCCCTGAAAATGACCTGAACTCATCATTTTTTATGGCTGCATAGTATTGAATGGTGTATATGTGCCATATTTTCTTTATCTAGTCTATCACTGAAGAGCTTTTGGTTTGTTTCCAAGTCTTTGCTATTAAGAACAGTGCCACACTAAACATACGTGTGCATTTGTCTTTATAGTAGAATGATTTATAATCCTTTGGGTATATACCCAGTAATGGGATTGCTGGGTCAAATGATATTTCCAGTTCTAGATCCTTGAGGAATCACCACACTGTCTTCCACAATGCTAGAACTAATTTACACTCCCACCAACACTGTCAAAGCATGCCTAATTTCTCCACATTCTCTCCAGCATCTGTTGTTTCCTGAAAAATATGGAACTTGTCACGAATTTGCACATCATCCTTGCGCAGGGGCCATGCTAATCTTCTCTGTGTCATTCCAACTTTAGTATACGTGCTGCCCAGGCCAACACAAACATTTTCTTTTTTTTTGAGACGGATCTCACTCTGTCCCCCAGGCTGGGGTGCAGTGGCACGCTCTCGGCTCACTGCAAGCTCTGCCTCCTGGGTTCATGCCATTCTGCTACCCCAGCTTTCTGAGTAGCTGGGACTACAGGTGCCTGTCACCATGCCCGGCTAATTTGTTGTATTTTTAGTAGAGACGGGGTTTCATCATGTTAGCCAGGATGGTCTCCATCTCCTGACCTCGTGATCCACCCATCTCGGCCTCCCAAAGTGCTGGGATTACAGTCGTGAGCCACTGTGCCCAGCCTACAAACCTTTTTAAAATATTGCACTACATACTTTAAAATACTAAATTCCCATTATAATTTAAAATTTCAATATACATATATTCAATATGTATAAAATTATATATATTCAATATGTATAAAATTATGTACGTAAATTTATGTAAAAATATGTATTCAATATGTATAAAATTATATATGAATCACAATATTTATTCTCTATAAACACTTACATAACAGCAGATTTTTGGAGATACCACTCAATATCATCCTGTTTGCATCAATAAATTACACCAGATGGTCTGACCAACCAGCAGATGGCACATGAGTCTCATGGGTTGGAAATTTTTATCTCATGATCACTAGAGATGAACTCAGTCCTGCCCCACCCATCCCAACCTCTGCTGGCTGCTGAGGCTCTGCTGTTTGGGGGAATCACGATTAAGTGGTGGTGGTGTGTAGAAGTTGAGTCCCATTGCCTGCCGTGGGTTTCTGCTGCCTCCCTATTATCAGGAATAGAAGGTGAGATTGAAGGGTGAAGAATGCTGGGACTTCTATTAGGAGGGGGAAAAAAAAAAAGAACAAGATGCATGTATTGAGCTCTTACTGTATGCCACGCCCCATTCCAAGTCCTGACCATACACCATCTCATTGGGTCCTACGATAGTCTCATAGGGTGGTGGCATCATCATCTTCATTTTACAGGGAAGCTGAGCCTCTTGGCTGTTTCGTGCCCAATAGCACCAGCCCCTGAGTCCTCGGCAGGGTTCTACACTTAGGTGCCCTTTGTGTAGGGTCCTTCAGCACAGGTGTGGTCATTAATTACCCACAGGCACTTGATCATTATCCACCCTCTAAGGATGTGTGATTCCTACTACCATGCACTAGTCTTCCTTCACAGGGAGAAAAAGGAGGAGTTAAGAAAAGGTCTTTCATTGATGTTACAGGTATTATATGCCTACATAATGTCAGCATTTTGCTGAAAGGGAATTTGGATGTCTTTATTGGCCACAACTACTTTAATTCAGCAAGGGCCGCTACCCACCATGACAGGCATGGGTTAGTGATGCCCTGAGGCTCCTGCTCATACAGTGTGGAGCTCCCCTTCCAGGGCAGGGCCACGCCTTGGGCAGTGAAGTCCTTTCCCAGCACAGGTAACGGTCAGGAACTGAGAGCTCTGAATCCACCCATTGAGAGTGAACAGGGTCTCGGCATCAGGACAGAATGAGGGCACCTGAAGGGGCTTAACTTAAGTGGCTGACACTCACTTTGCACTTAGAATGCTTCAGGCCCTGTGTGCGTCTCTCATGTGCCACTAAATAGGCACAGAGAATAGCAAGAAGGTAACAGGAGGGGGATTGATCTAAATGATCAAATTCCATTTTGATGGTTTGATTTCCAGGAGCTGAACCTCATCAGTCACAGACAAATCAGTGCCTTATTAGCTCGATCAGTAACTGGACTTTTTTAGGTTTAAATTGTTTAATTGTTAAGCCATGTTAAGCAATTACGGAGGACACCAGATAGTTTCCACTCAGTTTCCCTTTATTTCTGACTGTTACTTTACAACCATCTGTGCAGGGGTAACCCTCTCATGTGTCTCTCCTCCCTGATTCTCACTCTAGCAATTCAGATTCCCATTTCTGATTCTCTGGGACACAGGTCTCTAAAGAGCCCATCCACTCCAAGTCAACTTTTCCCCCAGTCCTGCCCCTCCTGCATCCTCATTCCTTTCCCATTCACACTGAGGAGGCATTTGAAACGATGGGTCTGTGCTCCCTTTAACATGCACTCATGGCCTAGGTTTCAGCTCCGAAATGACCAGAAGAAAGCTTGAAATATATCCACCCTGATGGCAGGCATTCAACAGAGGCAGTGACTGGGCTCCAGGTCATAGGAGGCCCTGATGCCACAGCGAGGGCAGGGGACGGTGCAGAACACAATGATCTTGGGCTGCCTTAAGTCCCTCAGTGTGTTCATCAGCTCAGCCCCAAGTTCAGCAAATCTCCCCCAGCAGAGAGCTCCCTGGGTGTCATAACTCTCCAGAGGGGCAGGATACAGCTCCAGGCTTAGCTTGCTCAGCCCGACGGTGTGGCGCAGCAGGTTCTCAAGGGCAGCCATGGAGATGAGGTTCCCACAGAAGCTGAAGGTGCTGAGCTGGGAGCAGCGGCTCAGGACAGGCAGGATGGCGCTGAGTTGGGAATCCATGATCCCACAGTCCTCTAAGTCCAGGGTCTGCAGGGTGGCCACAACTTGCTCCAGCAGACCTGTGAGGGGCTCAGGGCTGAAATGGGTCAGCGTGACACCCCTCAGGTCCAGCTCCTTTAATTGACGGATGCTCGGGCACCAAGAGAGATGCTTCAAGTCCGACTCTGACAGCAGGCAGTCGGTCATAACGACCATCTCCAAGGAGGCCTGGAGACACCTGGGAGAGAACAAGAAGGAGTTAGAGGAGAGAGGTGGGGATGACTTCAGGGTGAGAGATGATGCTCTCCATAACCCAGGGCTGCTCTGCTCATCTGAGGATAGTCAGCACCTGGGGTGTGGGAATGGAGACTCTGTTCCTTCAGTGCAGTCCCAATCGAGGCTCAGTCCTTCACCATCACCGAGGTGATTGGATCAAGTCCATGAACTCTAAGTCTCCCTTTCCTCATCTGTCAGGTAGAAAACCACATCTCTGGGCCACAGGAGCCCGATGGAGACACAGGCATAAATGACAAACCCAGGCAGGATCCTGCAACATCAGCTGGGTTGGCCAGGTTGCAGGAGACCCTGACATGCCTGTACCATCAGCAAACCATCTATCACTTTTACCATTCTTTGCTCCTGCTCCCTCACCCTCTATTCTATCATCATGTATTTCCCATACATTAATTACCTGACCTGGAGCTCAAAACAGGGTGCTGACAGGGAAACATAGGATTTTGCCTGTTCACTAGGCAGGTGAGGATAGACCTCATATTTTAAAATATAGGAGTGGGATGGGCATTCTCTTTAGTGCCCTCTTCACCTCCCTATTTCCCATCATCTTAACTTAGACACACATCCTCAGGAGGAATTCACAAATGCACTCTCGCCAGATCTAAACCCTGCAGTAGCTAGCTTCCTAGCTTGGCACCTTCTCTATAGCATCTAGCCCAGGAGATCCCTCTGACTTTATTGGGATGGTTGTGTGATACCCGTATCAGGACAGAGCCACCAACAGGATAATGCATGGATATTCTAGTGTCCCCTCACTCTTACTTCCTCACAGGCTCACAGTGCATACCCACTGGTGTTTACTGTAACAAAGAAAGGCTCTGCTGTGGTCTGAAGAGAAAGCTCACCATCCTTCCTCACCTGAGCAGCTGGTCCAGGTGGCCTTCGAGGAAAGAGACGGAGTGCATAGACAGATTCTGGAAATAGTCCAGCTTGAGGAACTGAGAGGTGAATCGGGCAATGAACTGCCCCTTGTTGTCTGGGGGAATGCAGGCAGATGCACGGATGTTGAAGAGAACAAGTTTGCGGAGATTCCTCATCTGGCCCAGGTAAGGGGCAAACTTCACAAGAGTGGACAGCTCCCAGGGGCAGCACACTTCCACCTCCTGGATACAGTCAAGCTCCACCATGTTCAGGACCTCTATGATACTGTGGATGGGCATTCCAAAAACCTGCAGCTCCTTGCAACACACATGCAGTAAGCCTTTTCTCTGCTTGCCCCACTCTAAGAGGTGGGTGAGGCATTCATCTAGTGTCCTGTTCTTGAGACAAAGGTCTATGAACACCATGAATGGCTGCTGCCTGCCTGTCCCTGGACAGTTATCTGCTGTTTGCTTCTGACTCAGAGCCTCCGGGAAGGATGCAGTAGCTCCAGAAAATATGTCGCAGAAGTTCTCATCCACATTCCTCAAGTCCAGCACTTGAAGTTTTGACTGCCTGTGGGTAAAGGAGAAGAGAGGCTCCAAACTAAGGCAAGGACCTGAGCTTTTATTTACATCCCAGACATCAGCTGTTCTCCTCTCTGCCACTTTTCCCTCTCTGATTTTGTCCAACCCCTTTTCCCTCCGGATTTTGCCTCATCCCCATTGCCTGTAGCTTTCAGAGCCACTAGAAGAGAAGTTTCTGTTTCCTCAGTGGACCCTGCATGGTGAGCAGTCCTTTCCCAGAGGGGCTGGGCAATGGCCAAGGCCTTCCTGAGCTTCCTCACTGGCACCATCAGAAACCTCTGGGCCTCCATGGTGCCCCTCCTCCTCCTGAAACAGCTGTCCCTACCCTGGACAAAAGGGCCCTCCCCACCTGGACACCTGGGTCACCTCACCTGGGGCGAACCTCTTGGGTCAACAGCACATCAACCCCTTCCAGCACAGATTTTAATGACTCCAGATGAGGCGACTTCATCAGGGACCCTAGAGGGAGGCGGGTGAAAGGCCAGGCCTGCACCATTGTTTTCAGGGTTTCACAGCGTCTCCTGCTGAAGGCCTCCATGAACAGTGTGGGGAAGAGCTCCCTGGGCAGCTCCTCCATGGTGGAGATGGCCAAGGCCTGGTCCCTCAGCAGCCTCTGCCTTGCCAGCTCCAGGAGTCTGGGTGGGGCCCTGATGCTCATCTTGATGAATCTGCAAGGGAAAACTCTAGAGGACAAATCCAGAGAAAAGGCATCACTCTCAGGCCAAATATGATCACCTCATCTTCTCCTATTGCTAATCTCATTGCTCTGGTGGAGGTGGAAAAGCCCTCAATTCCCCCCAGTTCCATTCTGCACTTGGTGGCCACAAATCTGTATCTGTGCCCCTGTGACTACCACAAAGAATGTCTTTCAAACACCAAGGAGGGGACGAGGTGGCCAGTGGCCCATTAATTTCTATACATTGCTCCACTGAAACTCAGGATTACTGGGATCTGTCACTCAGGATCCTGAAAGCTAAGCTCCACCTTTTTGAGGGAAATTTTTTTGTTACTTACCACCCAAAAACAATGAGAATGACTGTCCTGTGGCCCCACACAGCCTGCATTCTCAGTTTACACAATTAGCATGCTTGGGGAAGACTGAAGTGACTCCTTAAAATCAATGCCACTTGTTTTTATTTTGAAAAATTATAAGAGAAACTATAAAAGCAGTGTGGCAGTATTCTAGAGCACTTGGAAGGTGCGGGTGGAAACACTAAGTCTCAGATGAAGGATCCAATACTCATCCCTTCTACATACTCACAATCACCCACTTAGGGACAGAGTCTAAGGGCAGAGATAAATCCCATGTTCAGAACAAGACTCGAGAAAATCACAATACAACTAAGTGTGTGAACTGTAGCTGAAGGGCACAGAAACAAATAACTTCACATGTCAAGACATAAAAATTCATCCAACTGTAAATTTTTAATATCTTTTTTAAAAAACTGCTTCAATAAGAATTTTGAAATGAGAAAAATGAAGCAGAAATCAAAATTTGAGGGATGAAGTGAATACTATATTTAGAGGAAAAATCAAAACCTACATCTGTTAAATTGAAAAAACAGACAGGAAATTCTCTGTGCCACTTTGGGCTGTGTGTCACCATCCCTGACTGGCTGGCTGCAGATCAGATGGGCATGTTCCTAAGGAGGTGGTGACTTACCAGATCTGGACTCAGTTTGTAGGGTGCTGGGATCTCTCAGAGAATCAAGCAGTAGTTCCAGGCACCAGGGCTTTGGGTCTCTCCTTTGCAAACTCAGGAGCTTTTATTGATGTTTCTAACCACACCCTCCCCTTCTCAATCACCAGCTTCCAATCAGAAAGTGATACCTGATTAGATTCCGAAGTTCCACCTAGTTAGTCCTGATTGAGTTTTACACTTTCTTCTGATTCATTGATTAAATTAGATGTGCATTTATGAAAGTGAAAGAATAAATAACAGGGTGAAAGTCCAAAACTCATTAATTCATTTATTCCCCAAACACTGATGAAGTTTGACTAATATGTGACCTTCATAGAGACATGGAAGGTTTAATCTGTTCCTGACATTAGAAAGAAAAAACAAAACCTGATGATATCTTTATGGGAAAATCTGTGGCCACATCGAAATTATCAAAACGTTTCGTTAAGACAGTTAAAACAGCTTTAAAAAGACAGTGATGTCCACCCTAAGAAAACGGATTAAAAAGCTCCTTTATCCAATGGTCACCTGGGTTTTATGTTTTATAACAGGGCAGGTCATATGTGGGTTCAGGTTGAAAAGGGGACCACGGAGGGTGTGATTGATCACAAGACTAAGGTCAAGGCTTCACTGAAGGAAATCAGGACAGAATGACAAAGTGAGGTGGCGGCTGGGCAGGATGGGACCGGGTGTTCTAGTAGAACCCTGGGAAGGAACCAAGACAGCATAAAACATGGTGGGTATTTTGTGGGCATCTCCACAGAAGGATTGAAAGACTCTGTCTAGATTGAGTTTAAAAATTAAAAAGGGAATAATTACAAAAGAGACAGTGCAGACTCTTCAAACACAACATTGTCTTTGAGGGCAGAGGAGGCAGATACAGTCTTGGCCTCTACTACAAGGGAAAGCGTGTTTACTCCCAAAAATGATGGGCTCGCCTCGGAAAATCAGCCTGGGAAGATGGAATCTGAGAATGTGAGCTGGGGCAGATGCCAGAGGAAGGAAGGAAGGAAGGGAGGGAGGAAGGAAGGAAGGGAGGGAGGGAGGGAGGGAGGGAGGGAGGGAGGGAGGGAAGGAGGGAGGGAGGGAGGGAAGGAAGGAAATGAAAGAAAGAAAGAAAGAAAGAAAGAAAGAAAGAAAGAAAGAAAGAAAGAAAGAAAGAAAGAAAGAAAGAGAGAGAGAAACTCAGCCTTCCTGTCTTTAAGAACGGTGCACACATCTGGTTGTATTGTGTGCAAATGTACAATACATTTCCCCAACAAAACCTGGAAGCTCTATTTCATGTTAAAAGATCTGCTAAGTTCAGGGATGGCTCCCATCCTAAGCAGGATCACACAGTCATTCTTCTGCTATTTTAGGGCACAAAGTAGCAAGAACGTCCCCCGCCTCCAGAAAGTCCTCCAGGCCTTTCTCTCCCATTCCATATGAAACCCAAACAGCCCGGAGATGCCACTGGCTTCCAAAACTGAAGTACTTTGAAGGATGTTCTCCATCATGGAATATTTCTGTAAATGTTCTTTCTCCACATTTCTGACCTCACTATCAATGCCCTGCTATGTGTGCAATCGAGTTAAACTGAAACGTGCTCAGTGCGGCTTCTACTTCACCTGCCCTCACTTTGTGAGCCTGAGGCTGAGGGTGAGCTCAGCACCAAAGGTGATCCTGAGTGTCTCTGTTGATTGAGCATGCACAAGGCACAGCAGGGACTGGTACCATTCATCCAAGATCTCAGCTCTCCCTCACGAGGAATCTAAGGCATGTTGCTATATTCCTCATTTTTAAAGTGGTGACCCTGAGACTTGGCTAGGGAGAGGAACCTGCCCGTGTTCAGGCAGCAAATGATGGACAGACCCCTCTGGTGAGGAGCTCAGAGGATCCCCTAAGGAGTTCAATAATCTAAATGTTGAAAAGAACTGATTGACAGACTTTCCCTTCCTGCCCAATTCAGAAGGTCCAGCACCACCCCCAGGACCCCAGTGAGAATCCCGCACTTGGGGGCATTTCTACCATGTCCTGTCACCTGTTCTTCTCAAGGTGCTCATCTGCTGTCAAACTCAGAGCATCCTTCAGAGCCCCTCTGAGAAGATGACCTGACCCCTTCTCCACTCACAGAATCTCCACCAGAATACCAAAGCTCCCCCAGGCACTTGCTCAGGGTCTCTAGAATATTTCTGAGCTTCTGTTTCCCTCCTGCAGACTGAGCTGTCAAGGCAGGTATCTCTTTATGCATCCTGGATACCTCAGCCCAAATCTCCTGAACAACAGAACATGGCCACAATGCTGGGAGACCTTCACCCCAGAGCAGTCATTGAGGAATTCTCCCAAAATTCTATTGAGCTATTTTGGTGAACATGAGAAGCCATAAAGCAGGGAGTTCCTCAGCTGCTGCTCTGGCCCTAAAGAGGCCCCTGGGACAGGACTGCTGGAGGGTGACCCTGCCTGGCACGCAGAAGGAGACCTGAGTCCTCTGGTCTTCCTATGGGTGCCAGGCTGAGAAGAGGTCCTGGGAAATGTCTCGGTGCAGGGGCCATCCCTTCCCAGGCTCCCCTGGGTCAGCCTTAGAGCTGACAAGGCTGCACCTGGAATGCAGTCAGTCTGTTTCTGTCCAAGTCAGGTCTCTTCTTAGCCTGAGCTGTTCACCCTCTGTGCATTTCTAAGAGTCAAAATCTCTGTTCTGGCCCTGTTGCCCTTCTCTGGTCCTCAACCGGGTCTGATTCCAGGTCAGATTCATGCACATCGTGTGCTAAAGTAGGGGCTTCCTCTCTTTCTTCCTCCAATCAAGTCTGAGGACAAGGTCACCCTGAAAGCAGACACTTGATGCTGAGGGAGGTGCTCAGAGCCTGGGGTGGGAGGAGGTCTGCACCCTCACTCCAGGCTGGACAGAGCCAGAGGGACTGAAAGTAGGAATGGGGCCAAGAAGGGGAGTGATCAGAGGAGCTGATGGGGCTGAAATAAAGGGGAAGGAGGGAGGTGGCAGCAGAGCAGGCAGCCAGGTTCTCTGGCTCTCATAGAGCTGTGTCTCTGAAAGGCAGGGACTTGTGTCTGAGACCGTGGGGCACTGGGGCTTGGACTTGGGTCTGTGAGTTCCCAAGACACTTTATGTGCCCTGGTCTGCATGAGGTTTTAGTGGCTGCCCCATCCTGCCCCAGGGGCACAGAGTCAGGAGAGTGGGGAGTCCCAGGAGAGGAAGAGCGGGTGGCGAGTGTCCATCCTGGATCCAAAGACAAGCAGCAGGTCAGAAGGAAGCAGCTGTGGCTTGAGGCCAAGGAAAGGATTCTCTTTGGAAATCGTGCAGCTCCATCTTTTCACTGGTCAGAGCCTTATGGGACGGTGAGGACTGGGCTTTTCAGGAGGGAATGAAAAAGAATGGGGTCTGGCTCAGAGTCCCTGACATCCAAGTTATTCCAAACCTCCTCTGACAAGCAAAGGGAAAATCATGGAGGATGGAAGTCAAACCAAGGCTCACATGGCTGCCCAGAGCTTTCCAGTGGATCCAGAGAGGGCACAATGATCCTCAGTCAGAAAAGTCCTCCAATGTCCAGCACTGAGGCCCAACAAGAGTGCCTGGAGGGGACTCTCTGTGACATGTCTGAAGAGAAGATTCTGGCACATGTGACTCCTCCCACACCCTCTGCCTCCCCCTGACTCCTCTCCCCTTGATTCATTCAAAGACCTTCACTGAGCACCAGGGATTGCTTCCTGCAATTCCGGGTGCTACCAGGGAAGATGAATAAAATGCAAGGAAGCTGGAAAATGAACTCAGCAGAGGACACCAGGCTCAGCACTGCAATCCCGGTCAGAAAAATAACTCTGCAGGCTGCGCGGTACAGAGCGATCATAATAACCCATGGGGATAATCACAGGTGTCCCAAATCCTTTAATCACTTTTTGTTGGAATATGAAGAGGTCTCTCACTGCTGAATATAAATATACAGGGAAGTGAAAAACATTAGTAAAACGAACATTTACTAAGTGCAATGTGACTCAAAGCACTGAGAAGCCAAGGGTTTTATTTCTTTGAAACAACTTGCCAAGGCAGTTTGAACAGTGATCATCTTCCTCCTGGGCTCAGCACCGCAGAGGCAGCTGGTGTCTTCTCCACCTGGGAGAGTTGTCCTGCTTTTTTTTAAGTTGGGATAGGCCAGTGAGTCGGGAAGTTTGTTCATCTTGGGCTTGGGGTACAGGAGGAGTTGGTGGGGTGCCTGTGGCCACTCCACTGCCCTCTGGGATTAGGAGGAGACAGTGGGGTCAGGACTCACCCCCTGGCCTGTGCTTCAGGTGATCCCTCTCTGTCCTGTGGATGTGGGGTTGGGAGCAGGTTTGGGGTCCTCGCCTATCCCCATTGGCTCTTCTTGGGAAGATGAATTTATGGGGCACCTGCAGGTGGCCACGTGTGGGAAGGAATCTCAGAACTTACATGGATCCATGCAAATGAGGCTTCCTTCAGGCAGACACAGGAACTCTGAGCCTCCCTGATGCTGCAGGCACCTGGGTTTGGGGACCCTCTTGGAGACAAATGCATGGAGCGTCCCAGCAAGTTTCCCTGTCTCCCAGCTCCTCCCTGGGCTTCTGCATCCGGGAGTCAGGGCCGGATCAAGAGAAGCCCTGCGGGGAGTGGGAAGGACATAGGATTCTCAGGGTCTCAAGTTCAGCTTTTAACATTATCCTCAAAGGTGGGGTTTTTCCCAGAGGCCTCCTTTCCACAGATCCCATGCCTTCTTGCTGGACTCACGGGAAACTTGCCCTGCTAGAGACATGGCATATTTTACTTTTCTGTGCCATGGAGCCATGCTGGAGAGCTGTGACTTCCTAGCTGACCACACACACACATAAACATGTAAACACCATGAGGTCATTGTAGGGATGCCCACTGGGCCTGCGGTTCTCCCATAGCACCCAGTTCATAAAAGCCTCCCTTTCACTCACCTGGGGCCTGGAGTCATTGGCCTCCTCCTGTCTCATTGATCCAGCATTTGGCCTTGACTGGCCAGTGACTCAGACCCCAGCAAGAAGGACAAAATGACTAGTTCACGTGCTTTAGGGGAAACACAGAGAGAATGAGAAGACCAGTGTCTGAACTGGCAGGTTGTGAATTGGCTCAGGGAGATGAGACTGGAGAGGTGCAGCCAGGGGCAAGGGTGACTCAGGGGTCATTGGCAGTTTGGGATTAGGGTTGTGAGGCCACTTGAAGCCTATCTTCCACATCCCCGAGGTGGCTGAGAGGACCGTGTTCCCTGGGGGGACAACCAGAGGGCAGGGACACGCTTCAGAAGATTCTTGCACTGTCCAGACAGGAGGTCCTGGTGTCCACTTGAGTGGCCATGGACAGCATAGGGACGTCCTGGAGGCAGAGTCAGCAGGACTTGCTCTTAATTCTTCCTGGGGTGGATGTGAAGCTTGTGTCCTGGCAGAGGGAGTGGTTGGCACAGGAGAGGACTCTGCCTTAGGGCTGAGTTATCCCCTGTGGCCTCAACTGTTTTCCTGATTATGCCTGTTGTCTTTGAATGTCAACAAAAGTAGCCAACATTTATGGAGGGTTTATTATGCCCCATGCTTTGGGCTCAGCATTTTTACCTGAAGATTGAGATTATCCTTCTACACATTTGATGGAGAAAGAGACACATTCAAAGAGAGAGGGAGAAATTTTCAAGGTCAGACAGCCTGTAAGTGGTGGGACTGGAATGACGGAATGTCTGTTTGTCAACATCTTTGGCGGTGACATGATACTGTCCCAGTCCCTGCAATCTGCTGCTCATTTTCATCCTTTCAAATAAAACTCCACAGTCAGAGGCTTGTGCAAGAGTTGGGGTCCAGAGCATCAGGTCTAATGTTTGCTATGTTTATATTCACTGCCAAATCTGTTATTCCAAAGAAATTTTACTAGTGAAATAGAAATACGTTGTCTGACAGCATTACCCCCTGTGATATGGTTTGGATCGAACCATTGCTCTCCAGCCTGGCAACAGAGTGAGACTCCATCTCCAAAAAAAAAAGCAATTAATTATAACAACACGTCCATTCACTCTCCAAAGTGTCTGGGACTGGACAATTAATTGTCAGGCCCTCTTCTGTAGCACCATACACTAGAGCATATACGTGGATTAAAATAAATACACACACAAAATGCAAGTATATATTCTTTTTTCATTATTATTATACTTTAAGTTTTAGGGTTCATGTGCACAACGTGCAGGTTTGTTACATATGTATACATGTGCCATGTTGGTGTGCTGCACCCATTAACTCATAATTTAGCATTAGGTATATCTCCTATTGCTATCCCTCCCCCCTCCCCCCACCCCACAACAGTCCCCGGTGTGTGATGTTCCCCTTCGTGTGTCCATGTGTTCTTATTGTTCAATTCTCACCTACGAGTGAGAACACCTATGAGTTTTGTTCTAGGGTTTTTATGGTTTGAGGTCTAACATGTAAGTCTTTAATCCACCTTGAATTAATTTTTCTATAAGGTGTAAGGAAGGGATCTAGTTTCAGCTTTCTACTTATGGCTAGCCAGTTTTCCCAGCACCATTTATTAAATAGGGAATTGTTTCCCCATTTCTTGTTTTTGTCAGGTTTGTCAAAGATCAGATAGTTGTAGATATGTGGCATTATTTCTGAGGGCTCTGTTCTGTTCTGTTGGTCTATATCTCTGTTTTGGTACCAGTACCGTGCTGTTTTGGTTGCTGTAGCCTTGTAGTATAGTTTGAAGTCAGGTAGCATGATGCCTCCAGCTTTATTCTTTTGGCTTAGGATTGACTTGGCAATGCGGGCTCTTTTTTGGTTCTATATGAACTTTAAAGTAGTTTTTTCCAATTCTGTGAAGAAAGTCATTGGTAGCTTGATGGGGATGCCATTGAATCTATAAATTACCTTGGGCAGCATGGCCATTTTCACCATATTGGTTCTTCCTACCCATGAGCATGGAATATTCTTCCATTTGTTTGTATCCTCTTTTATTTCATTGAGCAGTGGTTTGTAGTTCTCCTTGAAGAGGTCCTTCACATCCCTTGTAAGTTGGATTCCTAGGTATTTTATTCTCTTTGAAGCAATTGTGAATGGGAGTTCACTCATGATTTGACTCTCCATTTGTCTGTTAGTGGTGTATAAGAATGCTTGTGATTTTTGCACATTGATTTTGTATCCTGAGACTTTGCTGAAGTTGCTTATCAGCTTAAGGAGATTTTGGGCTGAGACGATGGGGTTTTCTAGATATATAATCATGTCATCTGCAAACAGGGACAATTTGACTTCCTCTTTTCCTAATTGAATTCCCTTTATTTCCTTCTCCTGCCTGATTGCTCTGGCCAGAACTTCCAACACTATGTTGAATAGGAGTGGTGAGAGAGAGCATCCCTGTCTTGTGCCAGTTTTCAAAGGGAATGCTTCCAGTTTTTGTCCATTCAGTATGATATTTGCTGTGGGTTTGTCATAGATAGCTCTTATTATTTTGAGATGCGTCCCATCAATACCTAATTTATTGAGAGTTTTTAGCATGAAGGTTGTTGAATTTTGTCAAAAGCCTTTTCTGCATCTATTGAGATAATCATGTGGTTTTTGTCTTTGGTTCTGTTTATATGCTGGATTATGTTTATTGATTTTCGTATGTTGAACCAGCCTTGCATCCCAGGGATGAAGCCCACTTGATCATGGTGGATAAGCTTTTTGATGTGTTGCTGGATTCAGTTTGCCAGTATTTTATTGAGGATTTTTGCATCAATGTTCATCAAGGATATTGGTCTAAAATTCTCTTTTTTTGTTGTGTCTCTGCCAGGCTTTGGTATCAGGATGATGCTGGCCTCATAAAATGAGTTACGGAGGATTCCCTCTTTTTCTATTAAGTGGAATAGTTTCAGAAGGAATGGTACCAGCTCCTCCTTATACCTCTGGTAGAATTCGGCTGTGAATCCAACTGGTCCTGGACTTTTTTTGGTTGGTAAGCTATTAATTATTTCCTCAATTTCAGAGCCTGTTATTGGTCTGTTCAGAGATTCAACTTCTTCCTGGTTTAGTCTTGGGAGGGTGTGTATGTCGAGGAATTTATCCATTTCTTCTAGATTTTCTTGTTTATTTGCGTAGAGGTGTTTATAGTATTCTCTGATGGTAGCTTGTATTTCTGTGGGATCAGTGGTGATATCCCCTTTGTCATTTTTTATTGCATCTATTTGATTCCTCTCTCTTTTCTTCTTTATTAGTCTTACTAGCAGTCTATTAATTTTGTTGATCTTTTCAAAAAACCAGTTCCTGGATTCATTGATTTTTTGAAGGGTTTTTTGTGTCTCTATTTCCTTCAGTTCTGCTCTGATCTTAGTTATTTCTTGCCTTCTGCTAGCTTTTGAATGTGTTTGCTCTTGCTTCTCTACTTCTTTTAATTGTGATGTTAGGGTGTCAATTTTAGATCTTTCCTGCTTTCTCTTGTAGGCATTTAGTGCTATAAATTTCCCTCTACACACTGCTTTGAATGTGTTCCAGAGATTCTGGTATGTTGTGTCTTTGTTCTCATTGGTTTCAAAGAACATCTTTATTTCTGCCTTCATTTCGTTATGTACCCAGTAGTCACTCAGGAGCAGATTGTTCAGTTTCCATGTAGTTGAGCAGTTTTGAGTGAGTTTCTTAATCCTGAGTTCTAGTTTGATTGCACTGTGTTCTGAGAGACAGTTTGTTATAATTTCTGTTCCTTTACATTTGCTGAGGAGTGCTTTACTCCCAACTATGTGGTCAATATTGGAATAGGTGTGGCGTGGTGCTGAAAAGAATGTACATTCTGTTGATTTGGGGTGGAGAGTTCTGTAGATGTCTATTAGGTCTGCTTGGTGCTGAACTGAGTTCAATTCCTGGATATCCTTGTTAACTTTCTGTCTCATTGATCTGTCTAATGTTGACAGTGGGGTGTTAAAGTCTCCCATTATTATTGTGTGGGAGTCTAAGTCTCTTTGTAGGTCACTAAGTACTTGCTTTATGAATCTGGGTGGGGCAACCCGCTCGGGTCCCCTTCCACAGTGTGGAGGCTTTGTTCTTTCGCTCTTTGCAATAAATCTTGCTACTGCTCAAAAAAAAAAAAAAAAAAAAAAAAGTATGAATCTGGGTGCTCCTGTATTGGGTACATATATATTTAGGATAGTTAGCTCTTCTTGTTGAATGGATCCCTTTACCATGATGTAATGGCCTTCTTTGTCTCTTTTGATCTTTGTTGGTTTAAAGTCTGTTTTATCAGAGACTAGGATTGCAACCCCTGCCTTTTTTTGTTTTCCATTTGTTTGGTAGATCTTCCTCCATCCCTTTATTTTGAGCCTATGTGTGTCTCTGCACGTGAGATGGGTTTCCTGAATACAGCACACTGATGGGTCTTGACTCTTTATCCAATTTGCCAGTCTGTGTCTTTTAATTGGAGCATTTAGCCCATTTATATTTAAGGTTAGTATTGTTATGTGTGAATTTGTTCCTGTCATTATGATGTTAGCTGGTTATTTTGCTCATTGGTTGATGCAGTTTCTTCCTAGCCTTGATGGTCTTTACAACGTGGCATGTTTTTGCAGTGGCTGGTACTGGTTGTTCCTTTCCACGTTTAGTGCTTCCTTCAGGAGCTCTTTTAGGGCAGGCCTGGTGGTGACAAAAATCTCTCAGCATTTGCTTGTCTGTAAAGTATTTTATTTCTCCTTCACTTATGAAGCTTAGTTTGGCTGGATATGAAATTCTGGGTTGAAAATATTTTTCTTTAAGAATGTTGAATATTGGCCCCCACTCTCTTTCTGGCTTGTAGAGTTTCTGCCAAGAGATCAGCTGATAGTCTGATGGGCTTCCCTTTGTGGGTAACCCGACCTTTCTCTCTGGTTGCCCTTAACATTTTTTCCTTCATTTCAACTTTGGCGAATCTGACAATTATGTGTCTTGGAGTTGCTCTTCTCGAGGAGTATCTTTGTGGCATTCTCTGTATTTCCTGAATTTGAATGTTGGCCTGCCTTGCTAGATTGGGGAAGTTATCCTGGATAATATCCTGCAGAGTGTTTTCCAGCTTGGTTCCATTCTCCCCACCACTTTCTGGTACACCAGTCAGACATAGATTTGGTCTTTCCACATAGTACCATATTTCTTGGAGGCTTTGTTTTTTTCTTTTTATTCTTTTTTCTTTAAACTTCTCTTCACACTTCATTTCATTCATTTCATCTTCCATCGCTGATACCCTTTCTTCCAGTTGATTGCATATGTTAATGAGGCTTGTGCATTCGTCATATAATTCTCATGCTATGGTTTTCAGCTCCATCAGGTCCTTTAAGAACTTCTCTTCATTGGTTATTCTAGTTATCCATTTGTCTAATTTTTTCCCAAAGTTTCTAACTTCTTTGCCATTGGTTCCAACTTCCTCCTTTATCTCGGAGTAGTTCGATCTTCTGAAGTCTTCTTCTCTCAAATCATCAAAGTCATTCTCCATCCAGCTTTGTTCTATTGCTGGTGAGGAGCTGCGTTCCTTTGGAGGAGGAGAGGCACTCTGAATTTTAGAGTTTCCAGTTTTTCTGCTCTGTTTTTTGCCCATCTCTGTGGTTTTATCTACCTTTGGTCTTTGATGATGGTGATGTACAGATGGGTTTTTGGTGTGGATGTCCTTTCTGTTTGTTAGTTTTCCTTCTAACAGTCAGGACTCTCATCTGCAGTTCTGTTGGAGTTTGCTGGAGGTCCACTCCAGACCCTGTTTGCCTGGGTATCAGCAGCAGAGGCTGCAGAACAGTGGATATTGGTGAACCGCAAATGCTGCTGTCTGATCTTTCGTCTGGAAGTTTTGTCTCAGAGGAGTACCCAGCTGTGTGAGGTGTCAGTCTGCCCCTACTTGGTGTTGCCTCCCAGTTAGGCTACTCGGGGGTCAGGGACCCACTTGAGGAGGGAGTCTGCCCGTTCTCAGATCTCAAGCTGCATGCTGGGAGAACGACTACTCTCTTCAAAGCTGTCAGACAGGGACATTTAAGTCTGCAGAGGTTATTGCTTTCTTTTGTTTGTCTGTGCCCTGCCCCCAGAGGTGGAGTCTACAGAGGCAGGCAGGCCTCCTTGAGCTGTGATGGGCTCCACCCAGTTCCAGCTTCTGGGCTGCTTTGTTTACCTACTCAAGTCTCGGCAATGGTGGGGGCCCCTCCCCCAGCCTTGCTGCCGCCTTGCAGTTTGATCTCAGGCTGCTGTGCTAGCAATGAGCAAGGCTCCGTGGGCACAGGACCCTCCAAGCCAGGTGTGGGATATAATCTCCTGGTGTGCAGTTGTTACGCCCATTAGAAAAGCGCAGTATTAGGGTGGGAGTGACCTGATTTTCCAGGTGCCATCTGTCACCCCTTTCTTTGACTAGGAAAGGGAATTCCCTGACCCCTTGTGCTTCCCAGGTGAGGCGATGCCTCGCCCTGCTTCAGCTCACGCACGGTGCACTGCACCCACTGTCCTGCACCCACTGTCTGGCACTCCCCAGTGAGTTGAACCTGGTACCTCAGTTGGAAATGTAGAAATCACCCATCTTCTGCATCACTTATGCTGGGAGCTGTAGACTGGAGCTGTTCCTATTCAGCCATCTTAAGTATATATTCTAAATACTTTCTATATACTTATATTCTAAGAGGTCACATGCAAATTCAAGGCTAGGTCAAAGAGTAGAGTGGCTATCTATGGAAAGGGGAGTGGAAGTGAATCATGGTAATAAAAATTAAGTATAGATATAGATAGGAATAGATAGACATACACACATATAGCTGCAAGAAAGGGGAATGTCATGGACCAATGATGTCAGTGAGCCATGTAAAAAGGCTACAATTCTTGTGATTGTGTGTCTGTTTTCAGGATGGGTTGTAGCTTACCTTTTTAGAAAGGCTGATGCCACAGCCATAGTGAATAAATGGTTATAAAATGTGTTTCCTTTCTGGGGCATCTCTGGAGAAATCTCCAGTGGTAGGAGAACTCCGTTTACTGGGCAGGTGATCACACAGATAAGATTTTTCAGATCCAATGGCACTACCATTAACTTCATTATCCTTGGTATTCTACAAAGGTCGAGTGAAGAAATGGTATCTTGAAACTAAAATTAGCTAAACTAACAAAGGAGACTGGGTTAATTTTTTTTTTTTTTTTTTTTGAGACAGAGTCTCTGTTACCCAGGCTGGAGTTCAGTGGTGCTATCTCAGCTCACTGCAACCTCTGCCTCCTGGGTTCAAGTGATTGTCATGCCTTAGCCTCCCAAGTAGCTGGGATTACAGGCATACCACCACACCCAGCTAATTTTTGTATTTTTAGTAGATAACGGGGTTTCACCATGTTGCCCAGATTGCTCAACTCCTGGCCTCAAGTGATCCACCAGCCTCGGCCTCCCAAAGTGCTGAGATTACAGGTGTGAGCCATCATGTCCAGCAAGACTGGATTACTTTAATGAAATTTTTACCACCCCCTATGGGAAAACACAGCCAGATCCCCCATAAGGTATTTTTTTTTCACCAACTGCAATCAGAAACACTGATAATTAAGTATTTACTGGAGAACCTATGCCTTTGATAATAGAACATTATGTATCCCCTGCACTTTTTAGCTCTGATCATGTAACCAGAGGATCAACTCCAACAGATTAGTCATTGCTTAAGTTGTTACAGGTGATGACGCAAAGCCCAAATTGCTCAGGCATGTCCGATGGGAAAAAGGTTTAACCTCTTAACTATTAACACAGCCAGGCGGACTGTTTGAATTGGCATCATCTGAAACCAGTTGGAGAGATGATGCAAGCTTGCTCCACCATCCCCAGATTGGGGAGACAGGTTTAGAACTTGTCTCCTATCTGCTTGTCAGTTAACTCTTTTTTATTTTTATTTTTATTTTTTTCTTTGAGACAGAGTCTCACTCTGTTGCCCAGGCTGGAGTGCAGTGGCATGATCTCAGCTCACTGCAACATTGGCCTTCCAGGTTCAAGTGATTCTCCTGCCTCAGCCTCCCCAGTAGCTGGGATTACAGGCATGCACCACCATGCCCAGCTAATTTTTGTATTTTTGTATATTTATTTATTTATTTATATATTGATCATTCTTGGGTGTTTCTCACAGAGGGGGATTTGGCAGGGTCATAGGACAATACTGGAGGGAAGGTCAGCAGATAAACAAGTGAACAAAGGTCTCTGGTTTTCCTAGGCAGAGGACCCTGCGGCCTTCCGCAGTGTTTGTGTCCCTGGGTACTTGAGATTAGGGAGTGGTGATGACTCTTAACGAGCATGCTGCCTTCAAGCATCTGTTTAACAAAGCACATCTTGCACCACCCTTAATCCATTTAACCCTGAGTGGACACAGCACATGTTTCAGAGAGCACAGGGTTGGGGGTAAGGTCATAGATCAACAGGATCCCAAGGCAGAAGAAGTTTTCTTAGTACAGAACAAAATGAAAAGTCTCCCATGTCTACTTCTTTCTACACAGACATGGCAACCATCCGATTTCTCAATCTTTTCCCCACCTTTCCCCCTTTTCTATTCCACAAAACTGCCATTGTCATCATGGCCCATTCTCAATGAGCTGTTGGGTACACCTCCCAGACGGGGTGATGGCCGGGCAGAGGGGCTCCTCACTTCCCAGTAGAGGCGGCCGGGCAGAGGCGCCCCTCACCTCCCGGACTGGGCGGCTGGCCGGGCGGGGGGCTGACCCCCCACCTCCCTCCCGGACGGGGCAGCTGGCCTGGCGGGGGCTGACCCCCACCTCCCTCCCGGACGGGGTGGCTGCCGGGTGGAGGGGCTCCTCACTTCTCAGACGGGGCGGCTGCCAGGTGGAGGGTCTCCTCACCTCCCAGAAGGGGCGGCGGGGCAGAAGCGCTCCCCACATCTCAGACGATGGGCGGCCGAGCAGAGACGCTCCTCACTTCCCAGACGGGGTGGCGGCCGGGCAGAAGCTGCAATCTCGGCACCTTGGGAGGCCAAGGCAGGCGGCTGGGAGGTGGAGGTTGTAGCGAGCTGAGATCACGCCACTGCACTCCAGCCTGGGCAACATTGAGCACTGAGTGAACGAGACTACGTCTGTAATCCCGGCACCTCGGGAGGCCGAGGCTGGCGGATCACTCGTGGTTAGGAGCTGGAGACCAGCCCGGCCAACACAGCGAAACCCCGTCTCCACCAAAAAAATACGAGGACCAGTCAGGCGTGGTGGCGCGCGCCTGCAGTCGCAGGCACTGGGCAGGCTGAGGCAGGAGAATCAGGCAGGGAGGTTGCAGTGAGCCGAGATGGCAGCAGTACAGTCCAGCTTCGGCTCGGCATCAGAGGGAGACCGTGGAAAGAGAGGGAGAGGGAGACCGTGGGGAGAGGGAGACCGTGGGGAGAGGGAGACCGTGGGGAGAGGGAGAGGGAGAGGGAGAGGGAGAGCAATTTTTGTATTTTTAATAGAGAGGGAGTTTCACCATATTGGTCAGGCTGATCTGGAGCTCCTGACCTTGTGATCCGCCCACCTTGGCCTCCTAAAGTGCTGGGATTACAGGTATAAGCCACTGTGCCCAGCCCAGTTAACTGTTAATAAATTTTTTTTTCCCAAAATGGAGTCTTGCTCTGTCACCCAGGCTGGAGTGCAGAGGTGCAATCTCGACTCACTGCAACCTCTGCCTCACAGGATCAAGTGATTCTTCTGCCTCAGCCTCCTAAGTAGCTGGGATTACAGACATGGGTCATCACACCCAGCTAATTTGTGTATTTTTCATAGAGACAGGGTTTCACCATATTGGCCAGGCTGGATTCGAACCCCTGACCTTGTGATCCGCCTACCTTGGCCTCCTAAAGTGCTGCAAATATAGGTGTCAGCCACCATGCCCAGCCTTTTTTGCTTTTCTATGCACTTAGGAGAGTGAGCCCATCGTTCAGTAACAATATGACTCAGTACTGCAAGACCTTTCAAAGCCTATTTCCAGTTGGTGAAGGAGGGTTTCGATGATCACTGGACCTTCATGCCCTACCATTTGGAGACTGCATCTTTTAAAATGACACCAAGGGAAATCTGCCCATGAGCAGCATTGGATGGGACCATACCAGGTGACTTAAAATTAAGGATAACCAAGGAACAAAGTCTTTCTTAGAAGCAGACATCATCACATGGTAGACAGCTTTTTTAAGAAAATGGGACAAAACTCCATTTGATCTCCTTCCACTGACTGAGACTTGGTTTTGTTTTGTATTAACACAAAATGATCAAGCCTACATTTTATTTTGTTACGTACTTTCACCAGTCAAAGCAAACACTTTCTAAGTTCTCCTATTCAAAATTTAGCCACTCTCACTAACCAAAGCAATTACTGGCTATGGAGTCATTTAGATGAATGGGAAGGATCACAACTAATAGTAGAACCTGCTCTCACACACGGTTGGTTAATATTGATAATTAAATGACTTGGCACTGAGCAGAAGCTATAGATGCAAATGGGTGGCCTATGACTATTGTTGATTTCATTACTTGTAACTTATCTCCATGCATAGGAAACATTAGTGTAACCGGGTCTAATCTAGGTAGTGTCCCAGACTCCCCTTGGAATCAAACTCTTTCATTTGACACACATTATGAAGACTGAAATGCTATAAGTATTGACATAGACACAGAATCAGAACATGACCATGTTATCCTCTGCCATATAATCAGAGAACTTACTGAAACTAGACATTTGTTCATTGGAAACTCGAGGCAAATAGAATGCATCTATAGCTCTACCATATGAAATAAACAATAGTTTCATTTATTGGATGCATCCATACTCAGCACATATTTGGAGAAGACCCTATTCATTCTTCAATGGAGATGACATGCAAGGATTATATAATAAAATTCATAAAAATATTTTTTCATCCCACCCCAGTTCAAACTGTCACCATGCAACCTGGTGTCAGTGGAAGGTAAGGCGCTTAAGGCAGAAATAATTAAATAAATCTTCATTGGAAGCTAAATGTGAGAATCAATGTGGAAGACACAGACCAACAAAGTGGGTGTGTTCCAAAGTCTGTTACAAGTTGGAATGCTTTTGTGAGAAAAGTTAAAAGAAGGGAATGAGACTCCTCCTATCAGCTTTTTTTTTAAATTTTCTTTTGTTTTACTGACCTGGCAAGGCTCAAATAGAGTTGAGTTTTTGTTTTGTTTTTGTTTTTTCCATTGGAAGGTACAATACAGAGGTTACAATCATTGACTTTAGCTGACAACATAACAAGTTAAACATTTTCCTTGCAAGACAACCAGTGAAACTTCATGATCAGAATCAAATCAGTGTCCTTCTCACTGTAAGTGGGTGAAGCTTCATCAATAATTGCAGAGTTTGAGGCACTCATGAACTCAAGATCAGATTCTTTACTCAGGGACAGAATGTAAGCCAATCATAAGACCTTCCACAGGTGGTTAATTTGGACTCCTGAAAAATGTGACCTGTAAGTTTTCACTGGCAATATGCAGGTGCACATATGACAAATAATAACCAGGACCTTTATATCACCCCCAGCTGGTGGGGAATGGGATCCTTTTGACCCTTTCTCTCCATAATACCAGGCTACTCATGTTGTGTGGCAATAAAATATATGGTCTACTTCACAGAGAAAGAGATTCTTTTTTAAAAAAAAAGGATTTTTATTATGAAATGAGCAAAGCAATGGGAATAGATGTGAGATTATTCAGGGAGGTAAAGGAAGACAAAGGTTTTGAAAGGAAAAATCAGGAGAATTACATACACTGTTTTGGAAGACTCATTCTTGGTCACAAGTATCAACACCAAGGGGGCCTCAGTGCAATGTTGGAAAGATTCCTCCTCCACGCCCTCAATAACCCCCAACATGTTTACCAAGTCTTGGTTCACTCCCCGGATCCCATTAAAACACACAGCTCAACCCTGACCAGCCTCCACCTTCACTTCCCTTTGTAATTTTGACATGACTTTTTTTACAGGACCATCAGGTTCCTATGCCTGCAGCACAGTAGCATACTAATATTCTGAGACAGCAGGGTTTGCAGCAGAGAGTTTAACGATCACAGGGTGGCAAAATGAAAAGCTGGGAGGAGACCCTCAAATTCATCTCCCCAAGAAGTACTGAGAGTTTTCAGAGGATCATGGATAGCAAGAGGCTGGAAAGTTGGTGCAGTTTGGTGGCAGTAAGAGGTATGAAGTCATCAGGATGTCAAAACTGCATTCCTTGGTGAGTTGGTGCCTTGCAGGGCCCTTCAGATCACCTGCCATCAGTAGCTTCACTGACATGCAGAACCTGAAAGAATATGTCAAATGAAAAAGTTAATGTTTTACAAGGCCTAAATTGTTGTCTGCAGGGCAGTTAAGGGCAACTGTAATCTAAGGTCTACATGATTTTGGGACAGCAGGCTGCCAGCAACCATGAGGAAGCAGGTCAGAGAGCAAGCTGACCTCATGATGAATGCTGAATGCACTGCAAGCTTGGTTTATGTCTGTTTCTCCCCCTCCCTTCTTCACTGATTAAATTTATAAAGTTTATAAGTATGGTTGCAATTTCTTCCAGAGTAACCTTAACCTAAGCCCTGAGACCACTCAGGTCCTCAGTGGCACCTCTCTTCCACCAGCAGGAGTGAAAAAATTGCTACCTTAGGTGATATAAAACCCACAAGACCATTCAATACATGGAGATTTTTATTTTGATTTTGTAGGGACGACTCCTCTGTTTTTATAAAGCTATTTTAACTATAAAACATTTTTGTGATTTTGATGTGGCCAAAGATCTCCCAACAATACTACTTTCAGATTTTAGTTTTCTGTCTAATATCTGGGAAAGATTAGACCCTTCCCTGCTTCAGACTCAGGACTATGCAGGTCACATATTAGTGAAATTCCATCAGTGTTTGTGAAGTTCACGAATGAATGAATTTTTTTTTTCCGACAAATTCTCCCTCTGTCACCCAGAGTGGAGTGCAATGGTGCAATCTTGGTTCACTGCAACCATTGCCTCTTGGGTTCAAGCGATTCTCCCACCTCAGCCTCCTGAGTAGCTGGATTACAGGCATGTGCCATCGTCCCTGCCTAATTCTTGTATTTTTGTAGAGACGGGGTTTCACCTTGTTGGCCTGGCTCGTCTTGAATGTCTGAACTCAGGTGACCCACCCAACTTGTCTTCCCAAAGTGCTGGGATTACAGGAGTGAGCCACCTTGCCCGGTCTTGAATGAATGCATTCTTGATTCCCACCCTATCCCTAACACTGTCAATTTCTTGATTCATGAACTTAATATGGATATCTGATATGAATGGATATCTGATTCAATCCATTAATCTGGGGAGAGCCAAAACCCCAATCAGGATTAACTGGGTGGAGCTTCAGAAATGCAATCAGATATCACTTGTTGATTGGAAGCTAGCAGTGGATACGTGGAGGGGTGTGGGTGGGAGTTGTGATTAGAAAGGTCAATAAAAGCTTCTAAAGACCCACAGAAGAGACCCAAAGTCTTCAAGTCTGGAGTTCCTGCTTAGTTCTTCCTGAGGTCTGAGCACCCTCCAAACTGAGTCCAGATCTGGTAAGTCACTAATCTCTCTGTAAGGACACTCCCAACTGACCTACAGTCAGCTGGTCTGGGATGGTGACAGTGCAGCCTAAGATGGCATAGAGTTATATCCTGTTTTGTTTTTTTTCTCATATGAACAATTTGAAGCTTTGCATTTTTTCCTCTAAATGCAGTTTTGTCTTTATTTCAAAAAATTGGATTGTGCTTTGGTTTATGTCATTTCAAAATTCTTGAAGGGAGCAGTGACTCATGCCTTTAACCCCAACACTTTGGGAGACCAAGGCGGGAGGATCATTTCAGCCCAGGGGTCTGAGACCAACCTGGACAACACGGCAAAAACCCATCTCTATAAAATATTCTTTATTGAAGGGGGGATGGAGTCTCGCTCTGTTTCCAAGGCTGGAGTGCAGTGGCACGATCTCAAATCATTGCAACCTCTGCCTCCCAGGCTCAAGCAATTCTCATGCCTCAGCCTCCTGAGTATCTGGTATTACATCCAACTGCCAACTTGCCTGGCTACTTTTTGTATTTTTAGTAGAGGTGGGGTTTCACCATGCTGGCCAAGTTGGTCTCAAACTCCTGACCTCAAGTGATCCACCTGCCTTGGCCTCCCAAAGTGCTGGGATTACAGCCATGAGCCACTGGTGCTTGGCCTCTACAAAATATACATATTTTTTAATTAGCCGGGCATGGTAGCATGCATCTGTCTTCCCAACTGTATGGGTTGCTGACATGGGAGAAACAATTGAGCCCAGAAGATTGAGGCTGCAGTGAGCCATGCTCATACCACTGCTGTACTCCAGCCTGGGCAACATTGCGAGGCCCTATTAAAGAAAAAAAATCTTAACCAAAGAGGATCTTTGACCTTAATTTTAAACCAATCACATCCTCATTGTAACTCTTCCACCCAAACGGAGACATGGGTGTGGAGGTGCATGCCTGTAATCCCAGCTACATGGAAGGCTGAAGCATAAGTATCACTTGAACCTGGGAGGCAGAGGTTACAGTGAGCTGAGATGGCACCACTGTACTCCAGCCTGGGTGATGAAGTGAGACTCAGCTACCCCGACACGAAAAAAATTAAATTATACCACCCAGGTGATCATTGGATTCATGAAGATTTCTACTGTGTTTTCTTAGGGACTGTCATGTCTATCTTTGTAAAACTGTTTTAACTCTGAAATATTTTGATAAATTTGATGTGGCCAAGGATCTCTCAACAAAGATACTTTCGAGTTTTTTTCTTTCTGTCTAATGTCAGGAAGAGATTCAACTCTTCCCTATCTCACACTCAGAACTACAAAGGTCACATATTACTAAAATTCCATGTTTGTGGAGTAAATCAGTGAATGAGTCCTGGACTTTCACCATATCCCTAAATATTTCACTTTCATGGATGAATATCTAATTTGATAGTTAATCTGGAAGAAAGACAAAAATCCAATCATGATTAACTGGATGGAGCTTAAGAAGTCTAATCCAATGTAGTTCTCTCTCTCTCTCTCTCTTTTTTGAATCTAGCCAATTTCCCAGGCTGGATTGTAGTGGTATAATCTCAGCTAACTGCAACCTATGCCTCCTGGGTTCAAGCGATCCTCCTGCTTCAGCCTCCCTAGTAGCTTGGACTATAGGCGCAGACCACTGCACCTGGCTAATTTTTGTAATTTTAGTAGAGGTAGTGTTTTACCATGTTGGCCAGGATGGTCTCAAACTCCTGACCTCAGATAATCCAATGCCTCTGCCTCCCAAAGTGCTGGGATTACAGGTGTGAGTCACTGCGCACAGCCAAAGTGGTTCATTTTGAACATGCGTAAGAGGTGTGTATTGGAAACATCTGTGTCTTGCGAATGATGCATAACACTGTCACACAGCTTTCAAAGCTTCTTGGTGAAATTTTCAATAATGAGTCCGGGAAGAGGATTACGCCTGTAATCCCAGTACTTTGGGAGGCCAAGGCGGGTGGAATGTTTGAGTCTAGGAGTTCAAGACCAGCCTGGACAACATAGTGAAACCCACTGTCTTTACAAAAAGTCAAAAAATAAAAGATTAGCTGGGCATGAGATCCGAGCTTCAGAGATCCTCGGTAACATTTCCCAGTGCTATGAGTTTATTGCAACAGTGGCTAATAATTCATGGACTAGGAGGGATCTTGCCTGCTCTTTAGAGGTTGGGACACACTCTTCTTGGTACCAGAAGGGCAGAACCATGCCTCTGTAGCCACTTATTGCAGAACGGAATTGGAGTAAACTGAGGGCTCTTTCACACGTGCTAGAGAAATGACTTTGGCCCTAGGAGAAGTGGGGCTTGCTGGGGAATGGCCCGAGAAACTTGCCTTTTCACTTGATTGTCCTCTAGAGTTTTTCCTCGGAGATTTGTCAGAATGAGCCTCCAGGCCCCATCCAGACTGCTGGAGCTGGCAGGGCAGAGCCTGCTGAGGAACCAGTTCTTGACCATCTTCACCCTGGATGAGCTGCCCAGGGAGGTCTTCCCTCTGATGTTCATGGAGGCCTTCAGCATGAGACGTTTTGAGGCCCTGAAGCTGATGGTGCAGGCCTGGCCCTTCCTCCGCCTCCCTCTGGGATCCCTGATGAAGACACCTCATCTGGAGACCTTGCAAGCTGTCCTGAGGGGACTTGATACACTGGTGGCCCAGAAGGTTCGCCCCAGGTGAGGTGACTCAGGTGGCTTTCGGGGAAGGGTCCAGGCATCCAGGGAAGGGACAGCTGGCTCAGGAGGAGTGGTGGGGTTGGGGAGCTAGGGTGGCTCAGAGGCTTCTGACGGTGCCCATGAGAGGCCTTGGCCATTGCCCAGATCCTCTGGAAAAGGTCTGCTCACCATACAGGGTCCACTGAGGAAACAGGAGCTTGCTTCCTCCCAGCAGAAAGTAAAGGTACTAGAAGTGGGTACCAGGCAGAATCCAAGAGGGAGCAGGATGGAGAAGAGACAGAAGGAGGAGCACTGAGGACAGGAGCAGCTGACTGATGTCCTGGATGTGGAGTGAAAGCTCAGGTCAGGGGTGGGTCCTTGCCTACATTCTGAGCTTTTCCCCTATGTTACTCATAGGAGGTGGAAACTTCAAGTGCTGGATTTGCAGGATGTTGATGAGAATTTCTGGACCATATGGTCTGGAGCCAGGGTCCTCTCCTGCTCCCCAGAGGCCATGAGTAAGAGGCAGACAGTGGAGGACTGTCCAAGGATGGGAGAGCACCAGCCCTTGAAGGTGTTCATAGACCTCTGCCTAAAGGAAAGTACACTGGATGAATGCCTGAGCTACCTTTTTGGGTGGATCCACTACAGAAGAGGCCTAGTGCACCTGTGTTGTAGTAAGGTGCAGAATTACTCAATGCCCACTTCAAGTTTCAGAAATCTATTGGAAAGGATATACCCAGACAGTATCCAGGAGTTGGAAGTCTGGAAAAAGTGCTCTCTCAATAAAACGGGAAAGTTTGCCCCTTACCTGAGCCAGATGAGCAATCTTCGTGAACTCTTTTTAGCCTTCGGTTATGAGCGTGAGTTGTACGTGAGCGTCCAGTGGCCGTGCATTCCTGACTTGGACTCTCCATTCCTCTGCCTGTACTACCCCCAGATGCTTTATATAAAAAAGATCAGTAATATCAAAGAGCACCTGGAGCACCTGCTCAGGTAAGAAATGATGGTGAGCTTTCTCTGCAGACCATACCACAGACTTATGTTCTTTTTCACAGTAAATGTTAGTGGGCATCTACTGTGTGCCAGCCACCGGTGATGTCATAGGGAATGGGACGCTAGAATGTCAACTCATTATGCTCTTCAGTGCTCTATATCCTGAAGTGGGTATCACAAGACCACTCAAATAAGGGCAGAGGGATGGCCTGGGGTAGATGCCACAGAGAGAGGTGTGTAGGGAGCCGGTTAGTTGAGGGTTCAGATCTAGTGAGGGTGCATTTGTGAACTCCTTGTGAGGAACAGTGTATAAAGTTAATATGATGAAAACACATTCTTCATACAGAGGATGGTATGAAAGAAGGGAAGGTGTGGCCGGTTGTGGTGTCTCATGCCTGTAATCCCAGCACTTCGGGAGGCCAAGGCAGGGAGATCATGAGGTCAGGAATTTGAGACCAGTCTGGCCAACACAGTGAATCCCCGTCTCTAATAAAAATACAAAAAAAAAATGTCACCGGGCATGCAGACAGGCACCTGTAATCCCAGCTGCTTGGGAGACTGAGGCAAGGGAAGTGGAGGCTGCAGTGAGCTGAGTCGGTGCCACTACACTCCAGCCTAGGTTACAATGTGAGACTGTCTCAAAAAAAAAAAAAGAGAAAGTACATCAAACCTGTGCATTCCACAGTAGCAGCTCTGTCTTCAGCAGCTTAGCAAACTGCTCTAATTCCCTGTCTGTAAAACGTTGTTTTGAACTCCAGGAAAGATAATTGATATCAGAAGTGCATGCTTCTGGGATGGAGGGTGAGGGACTAGGTGTGAGAGTGGTACCAATCACACAGGCAAGGGTGAAAGGACTGAGCCTAAAATGGAGTGGCCCCTGAATGATCTGAGTCTTCATCAGGCAGCACCTTGCATGCAGACCATCATCTGATGATGGGAACAAACTTGTGTTTGGGTGAAACAGGCTTCCCCATTGCAGTTACTATAACACCTGTGTGGTAGTAAGGTGCAGAATTACTCAATGCCCACTTCAAGTTTACCATTGAGATGATTTCCCACCCCCCTCCTCTAACTGGCACCATTGCCCATAACTAACTTCTTGCTCTCCCCAGGTACCTCAAGAACCCCTTGGGGGCCTTTATATTCAGTGATGCTTACCTAGCTGATCGGGACATGGAGTGTCTGTCTCAGTACCCAAGCCTCAGTCAGCTAAAGGAGCTGCGTCTGATTCATATCCTAATGTGGACCACCAATCTTCAGCCCCTTGGAGCTCTGCTAGAGAAAGTTGCTGCTACTCTCAAGACCCTCGTCTTAAAGGACTGTCGGATCCAGGACCCCCAACTCAGGGTCCTCCTGCCTGCCCTGAGCCACTGTTCCCAGCTCACCACCTTCAACTTTCATGGAAATGAGACCTCCATGAATGCTCTGAAAGACCTGCTGCGTCACACACGTGGGCTGAGCAAGTTAGGCCTGGAGTTGTATCCTGCCCCTCTGGAGAGTCTTGACTACAAGGGTCATGTCAATTGGGAGATCCTCACCCCAATTCGGGCTGAGCTGATGCGTACACTCAGGGAAGTCAGGCAGCCCAAGAGGATCTTCTTTGGTCCCGTCCCTTGCCCTACCTGTGGCTCATGGCCATCTGAGAAAGTGGACTTCCATCTTTGCTCCTAGGGAAGGCCTGGTTCGTGGGATGGATAAGCTTTTTTCTGGACACTTGGGAACTAAAATATTGTACATGGGTGCATTTTTTAAAATTTTATTTTATTTTTTATATTTTTTATTTTATTTTATTTTTATTTTATTTTATTTTATTTTTTGAGACAGAGTCTCACTGTGTCCCTCAGGATGAAGTGCAGTGGCACAATCTCAGCTCACTGCAAGCACCACCTCCTGGGTTCAAGTGATTCCCCTGCCTCAGCCTCCCAAGTAGCTGGTGTTGTGGGTGTATGCCCCCACGCCTGGCTAATTTTTGTATTTTTAGTAGAGACAGGGCTTCACGATGTTGGCGAAGGCTGACCTCAAACTCCTGACCTCAAGTGATCTGACCACCTTGGCCTTCCACAGTGCCAGGTTTACAGGTGTGAGCAGCAGGGCCCGGTCACCCGCTTCTTAAAGGAAGCACACAGCCACGTATTTGAGGCACGTGCTCACTGTGAGTGGAAAAACAAAGGTGACTCAGCCAGGGGCAGGACTGGGTAAAAATGCTGACTTGGCATCAATGAGGCCTTCAGGGACCTGTGTCCTAGACTTAGAAATGGAACCTGAAGTTCTAGAGTGATGCAGGACTTACCCCTGCAAGGATGGTTATTTAAAAATGTCAAAAATAAATGGAACCTGAATGGAAACTTTCTGGTGTCTTCCATGATTGATCAACCTGTTTTAGACATTTATACATCAGAAGTCTCTAGAAATCTGCCTCCTGGGTTCAAGCAATTCTCCTGCCTCAGCCTCCTGAGTAGCTGGAACTACAGGGACCCGCCACCATGCCTGGCTATTTTTTGTATTTTTTGTAGAAACGGGGGTTTCACCATGTTGACCAGGCTGGTCTTGAACTCCTGACTTCAGGCAAACCATCCGCCTCAGCCTCCCAAAGTGCTCAGATTGTAGACATTAGTCACTGCACCTGGCCTGAAATTCTGATATAAGCATAAAATGTGTAATGTTCAAATCATGGTAACAGGAATAGCCACCATCTCAAGAATTTATCATTTCTTTGTGTTAGCAACATTCCAATTCCATTGTTTTAATTATGTAGAAATTTACTATGAACTATTGTCAACACGAGTTGCCCTATTGTGCTACTGAACCCTAGATCTTATTCCTGTCTGTGTTTTTGTTCCCATTAACCATCCCCTTCTTATTCTCTATTTCCCAGTACCCTTCCTAGCTTCTGATAACCGTCATTTTACTATTTTTAAGTTTCGTGTTTTTTAATTCCCAAATATGAGTGCAAACATGCCATGTTTGTCTTTCTGTATCTGGCTTACTTCACTCAACATAACGCCCTCCAGTTCCATCCATGTTGTCGCAGATGACAGGATTTCCTTCATGTTTACAGCTCAATGATATTCTGTTGTGTATATTTACCACATTTTCTTGATCCATTCATCTGTTGATGGACACTTATGTTGATTCCAAATTTTGGCTATTGTGGATAGTGCTACAATAAATAGGAGAGTGCAAGCTGAGTGCAGTGGCTCATGCCTGTAATCCCAGAATTTTGGGAGGCTGAGGCAGGTGGATTACTTGAGGTCAGGAGTTCGAGACCAGCCTGACCAACATGGTAGTGTAGATATCTCCTGGATATATTTCTTTTTTTTTTCTGGATATATATCCAGCAGTGGGATTTATGGTTTATATGGTAATCCTATTTTTATTTTTTGGAGGAAACTCCATGCTGCCTTCCTTAGTAGCTGTACTAATTTACATAACTACCAATGTTGTACCAGGGTTCTCATTTCTCCATATTCTTCATAGCATCCATTATTTTCTGTTGGTTTTTTATGGGGGAGATCCCCTTACTATTAAAACTCAAATCCAGTTTGGTGTAAACACAGAAACCCTGCTAGAGTTGCCTGCCACCCTTGAAACAGGCCATTGGAATGAAAATTGTCCACCTATGCACCAGGTCTCTATTGGACAGAATGCTTTTGTCCCAGAGGTTGTTCACATTAGAGGACATTTCTTTTTTGTTTTTCTTTACTTTTCTGCCTTTTTTTTTTTTTTTAAGGTAGAGTTTCACTATTGTTGCCCAGGCTGGAGTGCAATGGTGGGATCTCAGCTCACTGCAACCTCCACCTCCCGAGTTCAAGCGATTCTCTTGCCTCAGCCTCCCAAGTAGCTGGGATTACATTCATGCACCACCACAGCTGGCTAATTTTGTGTTTTTAGTAGAGACAGGGTTTCTCCATGTTGGTTAGGCTGGTCTCGAACTCCCAACCTCAGGTTATTCCACCACCTCAGCCTCCCAAAGTGCTGGGATTACAGGCAGGAGCCACCACATCCAGCTAGAGGACATTTCTGATGTCTCCATATTGATGGAATTTAAAATAACTCTCTGGTAAATTGTTTTCTATAATAGCCTTAAATAAAAATGGAGAAGGTGAGATTAAGATCATTGCAGACTTAGGTACAGAATTGGTGGAAACCAGGGCTGCCATATCCAGTGTACAGCCAATATATCAGCAAATCCCTTGGAGAAAGGAAAATATTTCTGAGGAGGGGTTTCACATGAAGTTCAGAAAATTCCTGTGTTTGAAGCAGTCCAAATGACATTTGGACCATTTTTAGGAAAGTATGGCTTTTTATTAAGTGACAACATGGGGATGAGATTTGCTTTCTCCGTTAAGTTGATGCGTAAAGCTTTCTTTGGAGGGAGAGAAAACCCTAGAGTTTCCTGACCTTCCTTAACCTGAACTGCTTGGTTCCCTAGAAGCAGAAATTGATCATATTAGAACCCAAACTCATACCAACCTTGACTTTCATGAAGTACTCAAGTGTTTCTGCTCTTCTTCCTCATGTGATGTAGAAAGTATTAAAAGTGATGAGTTTAGGCCGGGCACGGTGGTTCATGCCTGTAATCTCAGCACTTTCAGAGGCCGAGGTGGGTGCATCACCTGTGGTCAGGAGTTCCAGACCAGCCTGGGCAACATAGTGAAACTCTGTCTCTACTAAAAATACAAAAACTAGCTGTGTGTGGTGGCCTGTGCCTGTAATTCCAGCTAACTGGAAGACTGAGGCAGGAGAATCACTTGAACCGGGAGGCAGAAGTTGCAGTGAGCTGAGATCGCACCATTGCACTCCAGCCTGGAAAACAAGAGTGAAACTCCATCTCAAAAAAAAATTAATAAATAAATACATTATAAATAAATAAATTAATTAATGCTTTAAAGAAAAAAGAAATAAACTTTGCCTACAAGTTTCATATGCAATTGAATACCTCTTAAATTTTGATGTGAACCGACCAGGCATGGTGGCTGAGGCCTGTAATCCCAGCACTTTGGGAGGCCAAGGCAGACAGACCACGAAGTCAGGAGATTGAGACCATCCTAGTTAACATGGTGAAACCCCGTCTTTACTAAAAATACAAAAAATTAGCCAGGTGTAGTGGCATGCACCTGTAGTCCCGGCTATTTAGGAGGCTAAGGCAGGAAAATTGCTTGAACCGGGGAGGCAGAGGTCGAAGTGAGCTGAGATCGTGCCACTGCATTCCAGCCTGGTGACGGAGCGAGACTCCATCTCAAAAAATAAATGAATAAAATAAATAAATCAATAAAAATATTGTGACAGGAACCAACATTGCTCAACTTGTACACTAATGTCTTACAAAATCCTTTCCTTGTCACCTTCAAATCTCCATTTCAAATGCTACACTCTGCATAACTCTACCACTTTGTTGCCATTTTCTGATGATGGAGAAGACCATACATGTGTGTGTGTGGCATCAGAACTATTGACTCCTCCTATTGATGTTTAAGATATTCCATTACACAAACCTGGGTTCATACTTTTTGTTGATAGATCTTATGCCAAAAATGTAGGCAAAAAATGCCAAGCAGGAAATGCTATCACTTCTGAAGATGAATTC